>NC_000002.12:16903694-17055209 GCF_000001405.40 Homo sapiens
AGCCAGAGTCCAGTAGACCCTGAAATGTTTGATCATATCTCTTTTCCCAATGCACAGTAACCCTGGTAAAAGGCCGGAGGGTCTCCTTGGGAAAGATGGGAGAAAGATACACTGCATAAATTGTCAGTAATGTAGTGGGGTCCTTCCTCAAGGGGACCTGGTCTTCCCTTCATTCAAGGGGTTCTGGGCTTTTAACTTGCTTAAGTCTGGAAATTGATTGAGGGGCTGTGATTCTCTGTTTTTATAATTCAAATTATTCTTTTGTCCATTTGATCTAGAAGTTTTCTGCTTATATAAATTAAGTAGGAATGCAGTAGGCTTCCTACCAATTTCACTTCTGGGAACACCGTCACTAGTTAGCCAATGCCAGAGCTCTACATGAGCCAGACTACTCTGATTGCCACTTTGCCTCTGCTGTCCATTTCAGTAGCTATGCCCACCTTGCCTTTTATGGTTGAGTGCCACCACTTGGCCTCTGCCACCTCAGGATCCAATTATTTCCACTGTATTTAACATTTATAGTTGAGTGACTGCAGTTTCCACTGTTAGATCTGACATACAAAGAAGAGCAATTACAGGGCTCTTCAAAGATGCAGGTGCTGCCCTCACAAATCTATTCCACAGGATATTGGTCAAGTGTATATCTCCTGGACCTTCCCATATGGGATGAGTAGGTCTAAAGTGACTAATCTACTCCACTATCCCAATCTCCCTAAGTCTTTGGATCCCTTCCCCTGCACTAAACGAAGGGAGATGAGGCATTTCCAGCTCACTCACGATGGGCCATCTTTTAATCCATATTTCAGCTAACCAAGCAAATAAACTATCAGAACCTTTTTTAACTCCCCAAGCTGTAACACTAAATGCAGAGTCCCTTCTTAGTGGGCCCAAATCAATTAATTCAGCCTGATCCAACTCTACGTTTCTTCCACCATTATACCACACCCTTAATATCCGTTCCCATGTCTGTTCTCCAGATTCCTGTTTATATAAATTAGAAAACTCAAACAGTTCTTTTCGAGTGTAGTGCACCTCCTTATGGGTCAGACTCTCAACCTCACCTCTAGGTGCCTGCCGGGACTTTTGTCTAGTTATAAATCTAGAAGGAAACGGGGGTTTTGGGGTGGCTCCTGAAAAGAATCAACATTATCTTGCCTGGCGACTGCCTCAGGGGAAGCCATCACTGTTTTCTCCAGCAGCTCTGGATTTATCTCCTTAAAGGTGGAAAGGTTGATGGCAGCATGGGACAGGGAGGGGATGTTGCCACTACTGAGGATGGGGAAGCTGTTTCTTCTGGCAAAAAAGGTTCAAAAGAATTTATAAACTCAGTGTCCCCAGCTTCACCAGTGTCCTCCCACATGTCCCCATTCCAACTTGCAGGGTCCCATTCTCCTCCAATCAATGCCCTCACTTTAACAGTAGACACCTGGGGAGGCTGTGCATGCACCTTTCATTGCAGGTCAGCCACTCGCATGATAAGAGCTTGTGTCTGTTTTTCCACAATTACAGCTATTTCTCTACAGGAGATAAGACTCTGACTTGGGGCAATCTTTATATATATATATACATATATATATATATTTTATTATACTTTAAGTTCTAGGGTACATGTGCACAACGTGCAGGTTTGTTACATATGTATACATGTGCCATGTTGGTGTGCTGCACCCATTAACTCATCATTTACATTAGGTATACCTCCTAATGCTATCCCTCCCCCCTCCCCCTACCCCGCAACAGGCCCCGGTGTGTGATGTTAGACTTGGGGCAATCTTAGGAGATTTGAGGCTCAGTATTTGCTTCTGAAGCTGGGAGATGTAATCCCTGACATCATCATTTTCTTTCATCACTTTGTCCACTGAGCTTAGGAGCAACCAACTAGCTTCATTATATTCCTTGGTTCTCCACATATGGTCAAAGATACTACGTACAGAGTCACCGAACTCCTTGCCTCTGACAAGCGATGAATCAGGAGTGTCAAATGCATTTATTTTTAATAATTCTCTAAATAGTTCACACCAAGGACTACTAGTGTTCTCCATACTATTAGAATTACAGTCCTTAGTATTTTTGGGTCTACTCATTAAGCAACCAACTCCAGAGACCCCAAAACCAACAAAAGAACTCCATCTTTAATATTCTGTCCTTCTAGAACCACTCCTGGTAATAAAATCTGTATTAGTCAGGGTTCTCTAGAGGGACAGAACTAATGGAAGGGGGAGTTCATTAAGTACTAACTCACACAATCACAAGGTCCCACAATAGGCTGTCTGCAGGCTGAGGGGCAAGGACAGCCAGTCTGAGTTCCAAAACTGAAGAACTTGGAGTCTGACGTTCGAGGGCAGGAAGTATCCAGCATGGGAGAAAGATTTAGGCTGGGAGGCTCGGCCAGTCTCTCTTTTCACATTTTTCTGCCTGCTTATATTCTAGCCATGCTGGCAGCTGATTAGATTGTGCCCACTCAGATTAAGAGTGGGTCTGCCTTTCCCAGCCCACTGAATCAAATGTTAATCTCTTTCGACAACCCCCTCACAGACACATCCAGGATCAATACTTTGTATCTTTTAATCCAATCAAGTTGACATTCAGAGTTAACCATCAGACAGGCCCACCTCCCCTTTGGTGATTCTGTGGTAACATTTATCTGCAGCAATGAATTGTCAGAAGCAGCAGTCTTCAGCTACTTCTATTTCATGGATGAGTAGCTTTCTATGTTATCATCTAGTATAGAGGCCAACTTGCACCTTGGTTTAATCAATTTTAAAAATATATAATTCTTTTTTTTTCTCTTGCCATTTCAGCCTTTATGGCACTCTCTTAGAAATACTTTCCTATTTCCCTGACCTCTACATGCTCCCCTCCCAGGTACTCTTGCAAAGGACACATGGTTGAGTTTACCTATAGACATTAGACAATGGATGAACTAGAAACAGATTTTGAAGCCACAGAAATCTTATCTTCCTGCAACCAACTTTCTTCTGCATTGTACATCAAGTAGGTCTGAGTTGGGATATTTCAATAGCTTAAAGGGTGTTCTGGGAGCAAATTACAAAATATGAACGTTAGAAATGGGGTGAAATGAATGAGCTGTGTGAGAAAACTGTGGTAAATTTTCTTTAAAAATGAGGTCAGGCTGGGCGCAGTGGCTCACGCCTGTAATCCCAACACTTTGGGAGCTGAGGCAAGTGGATCACTTGAGGTCAAGAGTTCAACAGCCTGGCCAACATGGCAAAACCTCATCTCTACTGAAAATACAAAAATTAGCTGGGCATGGTGGTGTGTGCCTGTAATCCCAGCTACTCAGGAGGCTGAGGCAGGAGAATTGCTTGGACCCAGGAGGTGGAGGTTGCAGTGAGCCAAGATCGTGCCACTGCACTCCAGCCTGCGCAACAGAGTAAGAAAAAAAAAACGAGGTCATAAGGTGGCTGGTGCACATCCTTGCAGAAGGAAGCTCCTTAATGATTTTTCTCCTTCTCCTTCTTTTTCTTTATAATGTCTTATCTAAGTGTGATATCATCGATAATAAGGAATTTTATTTCCTTTTCCAATATTACCTTCAGAAACTGAGCAGTTAAAATTATTGATCAACCTGGAGTCCTCCCAAAGGATTCAAGTTAATATCCATAGGTATTTCCTGGGCACCTGTCATGCTCTGGGTATAGAACATAATAGACAAAGATCCTGCCCTCATGAAGCTTATATTCCATTTAATAGAAACTCATTCTCTCTCGGCCAGGCATGGTGGCTCACGTCTGTAATCCCAGCACTTTGGGAGGCCAAGTCAGGCGGATCACAAGGTCAAGAATTCAAGACCAGCCCAGCCAACATGGTGAAACCCTGTCTCTACTAAAAATACAAAAATTAGCAGGGCATGGTGGTGTATGCCTGTAATCCCAGCTACTCGGGAGGCTGATACAGGAGAATTGCTTGAACCTGGGAGGCAGAGGTTATAGTGAGCCAAGATGGTGCCATTGGACTCCAGCCTGGGCAACAGAGTGAGACTGTCTCAGAAAAAAGAAAAGAAAAGAAAAGAAAAGAAACTCATTCTCTCTCTTAAAACTTCATTGCCAGCAAAATATTTGGTATATCTTAAGTGTTGTGTAATGATACTGAATCAATAAAAATCGAGCTTACTTATCTGAGTGCACTTCCAGTCAAATAAAACTCTATCCTGGATGCATTTCAAAAAACATACTTTTTAGATCATCACTGGGCTCCCTAGAAAGAAAAATCTCTAAAGATTAAAAAAGAAAGTAACTCACAACTGAAGAAGAAACACTAAGCTAAAACTAGAGCAAGTGTCTAGGGGTCGATAGGCATTATATGCTAATAATGTGACAGGTAAAGTTACCAGGAGGGTAGACACTGCCACACTCTAACAGTTCAAGCCTAGAGCCACCAGTAGGATCCCGTATTAAGCCAGTTTCCTGCCAGTGAACTAAAGAGGGCCCAAATCAATAGTAGCTCATATGATTATGGAGATTGGCAAGTCCAAAATGTTTAGTGTAGGCCAGCAGGTAGAGATTCAGGAAAGCTGAGGGTGTAGATGAAGTCTGATGGGAGTCTGATGGAGAATTTCCTCTTGCTCAGTGAAGCTGGTCTTTTTGTTCTATTCAGGCTTTCAAGTGATTGGATGAGGCCCACTCATATTATAGAGTGCAATCCACTTACTCCATGTTTGTGGATTTAAATGTTAATTTCACCCAGAAACATCCTACAAACTGACACATAAAACTAACCATCACAAGAGGAAAAATATGAAGTCTATTATTTTTAGGTGATATGATTTTTTTCTACTTAGAAAATGTTAAATAATTTATAAAAATCATAATTTATGAGGGAGTTTAGCAAATTATGATTTCTCTCCAAATTTTATAGCTATTTAATTAAATTCTAGCTAAAATAATAATTTTTTAAATTGGTGGTTGCTGTTTTTCATATTAATTAAAAATTAATACAATAAAATTTATTTTAAAGTGCATATGGTAGAATAAAGCCCAAGAAGATCTAAGACAGTTCTTGTGACATGATGAACATTGCCAAGCAAGATAGCAGTGTATTTCCCTAGTAATTAATACAGTGGCATTGATATAGTAATAAAATTGCCTAAGAAACAGAATAATGAGCTCAGAATCAGGGCCAAGATTTGTGGAAACATGACACATTGCAGAGTCGGCATTACTAATCACTATGAAAAGTATCAGTGATTCAATGGGAATTAGTCATCTAACACACAAAAGAAAATTGAAATTGTAGTCCTACAATTTTGATGTGGCATGGTTATTAGAATCTCACCAAATGTCCCAATCAATTCCAGGTAGAATGAAGACTGAAATGTGAAAAAGGACAACTTAAAATTTTAGAAGGAAGTGAAGGAGAATATTTGTTATCATCTGAAGGTTTTTTTTTTTTTTTTTTAATGGGGGACTTCTATAAAAGCAGCCAAAAAGTAAAAACAAGAAAGAAAATATTGGTAAATTTATTTTAAAATTACAACAAATGTTCCATAAAAGTCTCCCAAGGCTGGGTGCAGTGGCTCACGCCTGTAATCTCAGCACTTTGGGATGCCGAGGCGGGTGTATCACGAGGTCAGGAGATCAAGACCATCCTGACTAACACGGTGAAACTCCGTCTCTATTAAAAATACAAAAACAAAATTAGACTGGCGTGGTGCCGGGTGCCTGTAGTCCCAGCTACTCAGGAGGCTGAAGCAGGAGAATGGCATGAACCCGAGAGGCGGAGCTTTCAGTGAGCCAAGATGGCGCCACTGCTCTTCAGCCTGGGTGACAGAGCGAGACTCGGTGACAAGTTGCCAACTTGAAGGAGATACCTGTACACACACAATTGAAAAATATTAATGTGTTTGTCATAGGAAACACATTAATAAATTATAAAAGGTGTATATTATTATCAATCAGAAAAATATAAATTAACTCACTATGAAATTCTATTTTCCTCCTTTTATATTGGTTGAAATTGAGAAGTCTGTAAATCTAGTGTTTGATTGCTGACTTAGGGACACTCATTTACATGGCTCAAAGGTTCATAAATGTGCGCAGGTCACTTTGGAAAGCAATTACTTTCAGCACAGCAACTCTGTTAGTTAGATGTCCTAGACAACTCCTGTACATGTGCACTAGGATCTCTGTATAAGAATATTCATAGCAGATTGTCTCAAGATAGCAAAACAAAACAGAAAAAAAAAACAACAGCAGCAACATAGCCCTAGAGATTACCCAAATATCCTCAAATAGATGAATAAATGGATGGTTCCCCCTTGAACAACACAGGGTTTAGGGGCACTGAGGCCCTACACAGTCAAAAATCCAGGTATAAATTTTTACTTCCCCAAAACTTATCTACTCATAGGCTTAAGTTGGTTGAAAGTTACTAATAGCATAACGAGTCAATTAACACATTTTTTGTATGATTAATGTAGTATACATAGTATTGTTATAAGAAGATAAGCTACAGAAAAAAAGAAAATGTTATTAAGAGAATCATAACAAGAAAAAAATGTTTACTATTCATTAAGTTGAAGTGTATCATTATAAAGGTCTTCATCCTCATTTTTTTCATGTAGAGTGGGCTGAGGAGGAGGAAAAGGAGGCATTGGTCTTGTTGTCTCAGGGGTTGTAGAGGCAGGAGAAAATCTGCTTGTAAGTGCACCTGCACAGTTCAAGCCTATGTTGTTCACATACCACAACCATAACATGGATGAATTTATTTTATTTTACATATTTTGTTTTTATTTTTATTTATATGAATTTAAGGGGGTGCAAGTGTAGTTTTTTTTACATGGATATATTGCATGCTGCTGAAGTCTGATCTTTTAGTGTAGCCTTCATTCGAATAATGTACATTATACCCATTAAGTAATTTTTAATGCCTTATTCACCTCCCACTCTCCCACCCTTTGGAGTCTGCAATGTCAATTATGCCCCATTTTATGACCATGTGTACACATTATTTATAAGTGAGAACATATAGTATTTGATTTTCTGTTTCTGAATTGTTTCTCTTAATGCCCTCCAGTTCCATTCATGTTGCTGCAGAAGACATGATTTCATTCTTTTTTATGGCTGAATAATATTCAACATGGTGAAATTTAGAAACATATTGCTCAGAAAAAAACAAAGAGAAAAACACATGTAATGATTACATTTATATAAAGTTCAAAATAAAATGAAACAATATATTTTGACATAAGTACACAAATAATAAAACTATTTGAAACATAAAGGCAGTTTAAAATGATAAACACAAAATTTACAGTAAGTATTTCCTCTGGAAAAAAGCAAGCTAGAAAATACGATACAGAAGAAATACAGAGGTGGTTTCTAGAATTTTGGTAATGTCTTTAGATAGTGATCTGTTTAAAGGTTTTTTTAAAATCACTTTCTTTCACAGCTTACATATATAATAAATTTATAATTTTATTTGTAAGTGTCAAATGCTTTATAATATTTTTAGTAAATATTGGAGCAGAGGATAAAAAGAGTAGGGCATATACAACTCTTATAATTGCACAGTGCTACATAGCATGCTATGAGAAAATAGAAAAAGCTACATATTTTGCAAAACTCTATGGTTTACATCATCTCATTTAATGCTTATACAAATTCTGTCATGAAGGTAGAGTAATTGATATTACAAAAGAGAGAAAGTAAATAGCCTATTATCATTATATAGTTAGAGGTTGAAATCTCATTCTGTTTGATCTAACTCTACCCCAGTGCTATCTAGTATATCATATGGTGCTGAAGGATGAAACTCACTGAAGGAAAGAGTAATATTTTTACAGAAACTATCAGCCAGATAATAGGATGGAAATAATAGATTGGGGATTAAAGGGCACCAAAATTGTAGTTGTAGCTGTAGT
The DNA here is from genome assembly GCF_000001405.40 of Homo sapiens. Classification (NCBI taxonomy): domain Eukaryota; kingdom Metazoa; phylum Chordata; class Mammalia; order Primates; family Hominidae; genus Homo; species Homo sapiens. The sequence goes on from NC_000002.12 coordinate 16,911,577, forward strand.
TCTCAAAGGAAAGTACTGGAAAAGCAACAAAGAATGAAAAACATTGCTTTAGCAAATGCTTTCATTTAAGGTGTTGGTGAAGAAATATAAGCATAAAAAATTGCACCTGAAATGTTTAGCTATGCCTTGTTTTCTAACAAATTTTACGTAAACTATTTTTGATGGCTGTATTAGTCCATTTTCACACTACTATGAAGATGTACCCAGACTGAGTAATTTGCAAAGGAAAAAGGTTTAATTGACTCACAGCTCCACATGGCTGGGGAGGCTTCAGGAAACTTAAAATCATCGCAGAAGGGGAAGCAGACACATTCTTCACAAGGCAGCAGAAAAGGGAAAGAGCCAAGTGGGAAGATCCCCTTATAAAACCATCAGCTCTCATGACAACTTACTCACTATCATGAGAACAGCATGGGGGAAACCACCCCCATGATCCAATCACCTCCCACTGGGTCCCTCTCTCGACACTTGGGAATTATAGTTCGAGATGAGATTTGGGATGGAACACAGAGCCAAACCATATCAATAGCTCTTTAAGGATTAAGTTTGGATATGGGTGAGAGTAAACCAAAAAGTAGTTGTGGTCTAAACAAGAGAGAATTTTATTTCTCTATATAAGTACTACAAAGACTACTTATACTTGAGGAAGGACCCTACTACATTATTGAAAATTTATGCAGTGAATCTTTCTCTCTTCTTTCCCCGAGGAGACCTCCAGCCTTTTACCAGGGTAACTGTGCACTGGGGAAAGGGAAATGATCAGACATTTCTGGACTACTGGACACTGGCTCTGAGCGGACATTGATTCCAGGGGACCCCAAATGTCATTATGGTCCTCCAGTTAAAGTAGGGGTTTATGGAGGTAAGATAATTAATGGGGTTTTAGCTCAGGTCTGACTTATTTTACAGTGGGTCCAGTAGGTCCCCAGACTCATCCTGTAGTAATTTCCCCAGTGCCAGAATGCATAATTAGCATAGACATACTTAGCAGCTGGCAGAACCCTCACATTGGTTCCCTGACTTGTAGGGTGAGAGCTATTATGGTGGAAAAGGCCAAATGGAAGCCATTAGAGCTGCCTCTACCTAGAAAAATAGGATTATGGAAATTAGTGCCAGCATCCAGGATTTGAAAGACACAGGGGTGGTGATTCCCACCACATCTCCATTCAACTCTCCTATTCGGCCTGTGCAGAAGACAGGTGGATCTTGGAGAATGACAGTGGATTATCGTAAGCTTAACCAAGTGGTGACTCCAGTTGCAGCTGCTGTACCAGATGTGGTTTCATTGCTTGAGCATATTAACACATCTCATGGTACCTGGTATGCAGCCATTGACTTGACAAATGCCTTTTTCTCTATTCGTGTCCACAAGGCCCAACAGAAGAAATTTGCCTTCAGCTGGCAAGGCCAGCAATAGGCTTTTACTGTCCTACTTCAAGGATATATCAACTTTGTGGCTTTGTGTCATAATCTTATTCGGAGAGAACTTGATTGCTTTTTGCTTCTGCAAGATATCACACTGGCCCACTACATTGATGACATTATGCTGATTGGATCCAGTGGACCAAGGAGTAGCAAACGCACTGGACTTGGTGAGACATTTGAGTGCCAGAGAATGGGAAATAAATGTGACTGAAATTCAGGGAACTTCCATCTCAGTAAAATTTCTACAGGTCCAGTGATGTGGGACCTGTTGAGATATTCCTTCTAAGATAAAGGATAAGCTGCTGCATTTGGCCTCTCCTACAACCAAGAAAGAGGCACAATGCCTAGTGCACCTATTTGGATTTTGGAGGCAACACATTCCTCATTTGGGTGTGCTACTCTAGCCCATTTATCTAGTGACCCGAGAGACTGCCAATTTTGAGTGGGGCCCAGAACAGGAGAAGGCTCTGCAACAGGTCCAGGCTGCTGTGCAAGCTGCTCTGCCATTTGGGACATATAACATAGCAGATCCAATGGTGCTTGAGGTATCAGTGGCAGATAGACATGTTGTTGGAGCCTTTGGCAAGCTCCCATAGGTGAATCACAGCAGAGGCCTCTAGGATTTTGGAGCAAGACCATGCCACCTTCTGCAGATACTACTCTCCTTTTGAGAGACAGATCTTGGCCTGTTACTGGGCTTTGGTGGAAACTGAACGTTTGACTGTGGATCATCAAGTCACTGTGAGACCTGAACTGCCTATCATAAACTGGGTGCTTTCTGACCCATCTTGCCATAAAGTGGGTCATGCACAACAGCATTCCATCATCAAATGGAAGTGGTATATATGTGATTGGGCTGGAGCAGGCCCTGAAGGCACAAGTAAGTTACATGAGGAAGTGACTCAAATGCCCATGGTCTCCACTCCTGCCACCCTGCCTTCTCTCCCAAAACCTGCACTGATGGCCTCATGGGGAGTTCTCTATGATCAGTTGACAGAGGAAGAGATGACTAGGGCCTGGTTCACAGATGGTTTTGCATGATATTCAGGCACCCCCCGAAAGTGGACAGCTGCAGCACTACAGCCCCTTTCTAGGACATCCCTGAAGGACAGCACTGAAGGTAAATCTTCCCAGTGGGCAGAACTTCAAGCAATGAACCTGGTTGTGCAGTTTACGTGGAGGGAGATATGGCCAGATGTGTGATTATATACTGATTCATGGGCTATAGCCAGTGGCTTGGCTGGACAGTTGGGGACTTGGAAGAAGCATGATTGGAAAATTGGTGACAAAGAAATTTGGGGAAGAAGTATGTGGATGGACCTCTTTCAGTGTTCAAAAACTGTGAAGATATTTGTATTCCATGTGAGTGATCACCAGCGGGTGACCTCAGTGGAGGTGGAATTTAATAATAAAGTGGATAGGATGACTTATTCTGTGGATACCACTCAGCCTCTTTCCCTAGCCATCCCTGTCATTGCCCAATGGGCCCATGAACAAAGTGGCCAAGGTGGCAGGGACGGAGGTGAGGCATGGACTTTCACTCACCAAGGCTGACCTGGCTATGGCCATTGCCACTGCTGAGTGCCCAATTTGCCAGCAGCAGAGACCAACACTCAGCCCTTGATATATCACCGTTCATCAGGGTGATCAGCCAGCTACCTGGTGGCAGGTGGATTACATTGGAGCTCTTCCATCAAGGAAAGGACAGAGGTTTGTCCTCACTGGAATATAGACACTTACTCCAGATATGGGTTTGCCTATCCTGCACACAATGCTTCTGCTAAGACTACTATCTGTGAACTCACAGAATGCCTTATCCATTGTCATGGTATTCCACACAGCATTGCCTGTGACCAAGGCACTCACTTTAGAGCTAAAGAAGTGTGGCAGTAGGCTCATGCTCATGGAATTCACTGGTCTTACCATGTTCCCCATCATCCTGAAGCAGCTGGATTGATAGAACGGTGGAATGGCCTTTTGAAGTCACAATTACAATGCCAACCAGGTGACAATACATTGCAGGGCTGGGGCAAAGTTCTCCAGAAGGCTGTGTATGCTCTGAATCAGCGTCTAATATATGGTATTATTTCTCCCATAGTCAGGATTCATGGGTCCAGGAATCAAAGGGTAGAAGTGGAAGGGGCATCACTCACCATCACCCCTAGTGATTCACTAGCAAAATTGTTGCTTTCTGTTCTCGCGACATTATGTTCTGCTGGCCTAGAGGTTTTCATTCCAGAGGGAGCAATGCTGCCACCAGGAGACACAATAACAATTCCGCCAAACTGGGAGTTAAGATTGCCACCTGGACACTTTGGGCTTCTCCTACCTTTAAGTAACAGGCTAAGAAGGGAGTTAAAAGGTTAGCTGGGGTGATTGACCTGGACTATCAAGATGAAATCAGTCTACTTCTCCAGGACTGGGTGAGGAAGGGTATGCATGGAATGCAGGAGATCCAGTAGGGCGTCTCTTAGTATTACCATGTCCTGTGATTAAGGTCAATGGGAAACTACAACAGCCCAATACAGGCAGGACTACAAATGACCCAGACCCTTCAGGAATGAAAGTTTGAGTCACTCTACCAGAAAAAAAGCCACGACCTGCTGAGGTGCTTGCTGAAGGCAAAGGGAATACAGAATGGGTGGTAGAAGGTAGTCATAAATACCAGCTATGACCACGTGACCAGCTGCAGCAAGGAGGACTGTTATTTTCATGAGTATTTCCTCCTTCCTTTTTAAAAAACATGTTTGTGCATGTGTACATTGTACAAATGGATGAAGAAAATATCTTCATTTTATTTCCTTTTCTGTTATCATGTGACATGAGATTTATTGACTTCACATCAGCATTTAAGTATTGTTAACTTTATGTAATAGTATTTGGGTTGGGGATTGGTGCTTTTCCAGTTGTACGATGAATAGTTGTATTACGTTAGGCATAATTATGACTTATTATTGTCTTTATTTGAAGATTATGTATGATCTCAGGAGATGTGTATGGGTTCAAGTTAACAAGGGGTGGACTTGTGATGGTTAATACTGAGTGTCCACTTGATTGGACTGAAGGATGCAATCTTGATTCTGGGTGTGTCTGTAGGGTGTTGCCAAAAGAGATTAACATTTGAGTTAGTGGGCGGAGTCTTCAGTTTTGGGACTCAGACTGGCTCTCCTTGCTCCTCAGCTTGCAGACAGCCTATTGCGGGACCTTGTGATCATGTAAGTTAATACTTAACAAACTCCCCTTTATATACCTATAATACACGTATCCTAATAGAACCCTGACTAATACAGCTACATTAGCGCTGCATTGTATTAAGGACCCTAATCCTTCAAGCTTATGGCTCTGCCATGTGACTGCCATTCCCACGGTGACCTCTTCATCAAGGATGGCTACCCCAACCACATTAAAGCCAGCAGAAAGAGTTGGACAGATCATTTCCCCTTACATCATTTTGGCCGTAACTTAGTCATACAGACATACCTAAATTCAAAGGAAGCTAGCAATGTAGTCTGTATTCTAGATGGCCATATACACAGATAAAATATGCAAATTCTATTACCAAGAAAGAAGGGAACAGCAGATATTGGGGGATATATAGTTGTCTTTAACGCAAATAAATTAATGTGTATTTCATTTCTTTTATCCCTCATAGAATACAGTGTTGGAGCAGGGTAATATTAGATATTAAATTAAATGCATGGTAATCCATATAGTAGTTGATTGCCTGTGTGAGAAGATCTTATGAAATTTCCCTTTGATTATTTCCAAGGGACAGATAAGGCAAAGTCATGCTTCTCTAGCAGTCTCTGAAGAATGGAAAGCTTTTCAATTTGAGATAGAGTTTACTAGAAGTAAGATGAATTGAAAAGATGAAGGTTAAAGGCCAGAAATGTGTTGAATGACAACAGTAATGAGAACAATTATCCCTAAAAAGGAGTAAGGGAGTGATGTGGATTGGGTATGGACTCAATGGGTGTCAGAAAATGTAAAAAGGCAATACAGAGGAAGTTAGGAAAGTTAACTAGATTTTTTTGTGCTGATACAAATTGACCATGCCCATCCTGCAATATGTCATATACGCTTCTAATACATTTTTAATTAAAGTCAGCATGATGTATTAAAACAAAGCATAATAATAATAAAATTTTAAAAAATGTAAACTTTTACAATCATTGAAAGGCAAAAATAAAATAAAACAAAATAAAATACAGTTGATCCTTAATATCTGTGGTACATTTATTCCAGGACGCCCCTCTTCACCCTCCAGATACCAAAGTCTATAGATGCTCAAGTCACTAATATAAAATGGTGTAGTATTTGCATATAACCTATGCACATCCTCTCATAGACTTTATTTCTAATTAATTTTATTATTTTTAATTTTTGTGGGTACATAGTATGTATTTATATGTGTATATATATACATATATATGGGGTACATTACATGTTTTGATATAGTGATAGCTTAACAGGATGACTATAGTCAATAATAACTTGATTGTACATTTTAAATAAGAGTGCAATTGGATTGTTTGTAACTCCTGTATACTTTAAATCATCTCCAGTTTACTAATACCTAATACAATGTAAATGCAAGGTAAATAATTGTTATACTGTATTGTTTAAGGGATAATGACAAGAAATAAAGTCTGTACATGTTCACTGCAGAAGCAGCCATCCATTCTTCTTTTTAAAAAAATATTTTTGACTAGTGGATACACAGGCTGACTGTATTCTCAAAATATGCAATAAAATTTCCTCAAAGACAGAATAAACTGAATGGAACAAATAGCTCCAGAGCCAGAGGGAACACCTTAAAGTAACCTTGTTTAAACTTGCAGCATCTTTGCTATTATGCCTTTTTATTTGTGTTTAACTTTAAAAATCACCAAAATTTAAAAAATTTAAAATGTATTCCAATAAATATTTTAAGCTTAAAATTTCACCATAAATTTGACATATCCTTGTCAATAAATTTCAAATATGAAATTCCAGAAAGTAAAAATTCAATTTTCCATAATCCCTACATCCAAAATTAATCATTTGCTATATAACTTTATAGGCTTTTTACTATGGATTTATTTAGGCTAACTATTTGGAATAAAAATGTAATACATATTTTGTGAGTTACTGGTAGGATGATACTGAATTACAAAGAGAGAAGAAAACATATCAGATTTATAATTAGGAAATTTATTTATTTATTCTAAATAATTCATAAACTTAAGCTGGTATATGTGTGTTCATACAACAGCAACATTTTATTTGTATTGCCCCCATAATTCATGAAAAGTGAAGATCTTAGTGCTGCCAAAGAGGCATCATGATGCAAGGTTTTCACACATCTTGGATGGAAATTTCAATGAGTGTAATTTTTTATTGAAGTCAAATCTGTTGCGATATAGCTGTGCTAATTTTTTTAAATCAAAGAACAGTTTCCTCCTACAACAGCAAGAAAACGTTTATCAAAATACTTTTTTAGTGAAGAGATTTCACTGAATCACTTTCATGTTTATAATTAATACTCTAATTTGAATCACATATAAATAAATTTTTCTAAGCACCAAGGGCCCTAACAATCAAGTTTCTCCAGCTAAGTCCCAGATATCATCTTTATAGCAATTCTCTTAATGCACAGCAAAATCGCCCACAGTTTTGCTTTAAAATTATTAACTAAGAGGGTCCAGGCCGGACGCGGTGGCTCACGCCTGTAATCCCAGCACTTTGGGAGGCCGAGGCGGGTGGATCACGAGGTCAGGAGATTGAGACCATCCTGCTAACACGGTGAAATCTCGTCTCTACTAAAAATACAAAAAATTAGCCGGGCGTGGTGGCAGGCGCCTGTAGCCCCAGCTACTCGGGAGGCTGAGGCAAGAGAATGGCATGAACCCGGAAGGCGGAGCTGGCAGTGAGCTGAGATCACGCCACTGCACTCCAGCCCCGGGTGACAGAGCGAGACTCCGTCTCAAAAAAAAAAAAAAAAAAAGCGTTCAAGCTTGAAAAAAAAAAAACCCAAAATATTTTTATGAACCACTCCCCTCCATTACTAAAATTAAAAATGAATTAACCTATTTTACCATTTTAAAATAATTTTACAATTAAGAAACAAAAAAACACTCAGCTCAGGAAATCTCACAAATAGCTTTCTCAGCGGAGCCACTGTGTATTGCTGCAGAGCTAGCTTTCAAAATCTGTTCCTATTTTGTTATAAATTAATTAATGGAGATGTCGTTTTCTCAAAATATGGTATTGTTCTTGAACCCTACAATACCAATAGCCAATCTCGGACTCTCAGAGGTGAGAGGTTTACCTGGATGATGCTGTGCTTTCTGACCACACAGGGGGCCACTTTATCACTGTCACAATTTTGTCTATCCCAGACTTGCCCTCCTAAATGAAACCAAACTTATAAATGTTGTTAAAAGTTAAATTTATTTTAACTGATTGTTTTGCTTTCAAATACATATTATTGTTTTGCAAATTTATGTTATTAAAAATAAAATAAACAAGCCCAATGAAATTACCAAATTTTGATACATAGATTTGCCCAACTGGTTTAGCTTTAGATCCTCATCCAGTTGCTCAAGTGTTTTTTTGCAGTAAACAAGTTTCCTGTTTCAGCAGCTCCTGATGGTTGCTTTCAGCTTTCCTAGTTCTTTTTCATCTGTGATAGATTGAGCCGTATCTATGGCACATGACATAAGATTTCTCCTTTGACATCAAGTTCACTTCTAAGTTAATTCTGAAACTAACCTTCTGGAGGCAGTGTCAAAGTTTTTTTCTGAGAAGAGGGGTCAGTTCAATTGTACTATTAATTTTTAACTGTAATATATTTACTTGCATTTAGATTTTTCTTCAAGTTTGCATGATCTAGTTTTAATTGTCATTATGAGCAATTTCATCCCATTACTGTTTGTTTTTCTTGTACAAGTGATCATACCTTTAGTGTCATTTGAATTTTCAAAATAATAAAACCCATACTTTAAATAAGCATCAACATCCTACCTGTATTGACTACAATTGCTTGTAACCCATCTACCCATTATGGCTGAGGCAATATTCCCATTCCCCTTACTTTTGTTAATCCATATCTATCTTATGCCTTGCTGTTAGATTATTCTGAGGCGAAGAAAGAGAGGAAGAAGAAGAAAAGAAATAAGGAAGGAAGTGAGAAAGAGGGAAAGTGTTTCTCCATTCAAGGTATTATTATATCTAAAATTCACTAGTTGATTATCTAATATTTGTAAAATTACCTTCCAGATGAAGGAAATTATCTGATAAGATTCATGTAGGGGAAAGTCAAGGGAACTGTCATTAGGTGTCCATTAGATTCTTGGTACAATTTACCCTATTAATATGTGAGCTTGATTAAGGAGTTTTGGTGTCATATGTCAAAAAGTAACATATCTATTAAGAGAGAGGAAGGAAGTGGAGAGGGGAAAATATTGAGGGAAGGGTTGTTGAGATGGTTAAGAGAACTAGAGACTGATTCTTGATCTTTACTCAGGGCATATTTCTTGTTGAACAGCACTTTTCCCCTTCTGCTCATTCTCAAGGTGGTTTATCACTTCATAACTCCATGAATTCATTGCACAGGCCCATTGAATCACAAAACTATTTCTCACTTAAGTTCCCTACAGAAAAATCCCACAGCCACTGCAGTTTGGAAAGCAAAGGATTTAAATTATTTTTTCAAAAAGTGAGAATGAAAATAGTCCCATTGCACCCAGAAACCCTCCATGAATGTTGAGACAAGGCTAACTAAAAAGATTACCAGGGAGAGTAAAATGTGAGAGACGTGATTCCCCTTCCAGTAAATGCTTCCTTGGGAAAGGCGCTTGTTAACTCCCACTGAAAAATAGGCCCGCTGTCCAAGTCAGCAGTGAATTACAGAAGAAATGGTGCAAAACTTCACAGCCTGGAGAGAAAACCCCAGTTTCACTGAAGTGGAGCTGTGAAGTGATTCCCATATTTCAATAAGAATTATTTTATCTTTTTGCTAAGTCACTGAAATAAACAATCACATCTCTAAACTGTGAAAAACAGGAAGAAATACTGGGAAGATTTATAATACACATGTTTCTACTCCCTGTAGAAAAATGAAAATAGTAAATAAGTGCATTTCTGTAACATCCAAAATTAACAAAATAGTGTCTGTATGTTGTAGATAAAAAACCAATGTTCAAATAGGTTTAAGTGACTTCCCTATGGCCATAAAGGTGAGAAACGGTGATGTTGAAATGGCAACACTAGTCTTCTGAACTTCGGTCCATGCTTTTAAATCCCAGTCATAGCTGTAAGAGAAATATCTTAGAAGACAATTGTGTTATCATAATCCTGGATATGCTTATTTTTTTACCTGTATTATTTATTGGAGTTTTAAAAATGATTTTCCCATTTCTGTAATAAAAGTCAAAACATATTTGCTATAGTTTTATGTGTATTATTTTATAACATGCTATTCTCCCACTTAAGGATTTGGTTTGAGATCCAGATTTTGATATTCATTACCTCTAAGCAACCCTCTGTCATTTCTTACATAGAAGTTATGAATAATAACATTTGCCTTAGGATTATATTGTGTCTCTAGGTCCTAGTGAGTAGTGTGTGTTCAATAAATGGCAGATGTTATATTTGTTTCTATCCCAAAGCATGTGAATATACACTTTGTGCACATAAACAAAGGTTAATTAAAACAGAATTACATATATGCAAAATGAGAAACTAGAAGAAGGAGATGAGGAGGGTACTAAGAAACAACGGTAACAAGAAACACAATTAGCAAATCATTTTTTTTTTCAATCATGTGCAAGCCAGAAAAAAGGAAGTAACAATGTGGTTCTCATCAACTGGGTTAGGACCTCTTCTCTAGCAACCTGTATTTCTCTTTTTATAACACTCAGTTCATTTGATATATTTTTTCTTTTTGGTAATTTATTTAGGACTGTAAGCTCTATGAAGTCAAGCACTTTTTCCTTCCTGTATATCTAGCAGATAGAATAGAGTTGGGTACAGAGGACTCTCATCACATTTTGACAGCTCAAGTCTTTACTCCTCCCTCTCAAATAGCCCCCTGATTTGATTTTGGCAAATAATTCCTCTCTCCTTGTGTGATGTCTCAGTGGGAAAGTAAATCTATGTGCCAACATTTCACTATGTGGGTCCAAGTGATCAAATGCTTCTCTCTGGCTACAGTGGGGGCAAGCCTAATGCCTAAATTCAGCCAAACAAACACTCTCTCTTGAAAGTCTGAATTCTGAGTAAATGTCCACAACACAAAATAAATATTAGAATGTAATTATTTCACTTTCAGTGTCCTGATCAAACTATTGACTGCTATGCTATCATTGTTGTTGTTTCAAATAGGCATTGGTTTTTGCCTCTGATAAGGTCTGAATACACTCAATCTGACATTCCAGTATACTCAGTGAAAGCTGCCGATGCCAAGATGGAGTCATTTACATTAGACTGAAAGCAAATGAGATATGAAAGGTGATATGGTATGGTTGTGTCTCCACCCAAAATCCCATCTTGAATTGTAATTTTAATTGTAATTGGGGGAGGGACCTTGTGGGCGGTGATTAGATCATGGTGGTGGTTCTCCCTTGCTGTTCTCATGATAGTGAGTGAGTTCTCATGAGATCTGATGGTTTTATAACGGTTTTTTCCCCCTTTGTGAAAAAGGACATGTTTGTTTCCCCTTCCGTCATGATTGTGAGTTTCCCGAGGCCTCCCCAGCTATGTGGAACTGTGAGTCAATTAAACCTCTTTCCTTTACAAATTACCCGGTCTTGGGCATGTCTTTATAGCAGTGTAAGAACACACTAATACAGGAGGTCATGAAGGAGACAATCTCATGCACACATGTCTGAGGTAAGCACTATCACAAGGACTGACTAAACACCCACAAGAAATTTGCGCACTTCTTGCATGCCCTGCTCATTCTGTATGTGTGTCTGACACAGGACTCAGCACAAAAAATTCCTCAAGACTGTAGCATTAAGAGATAAACTGCCTTCACAAGAACACCCTGCCTAGCAAACAGCTCTTTCCACCAATGAGTTAATACCAGCTTCTACAACAGGCCCCTGTGACCAATGATGTTTTTTTCACAACAACTTATGTAGACTTCTTTTTGCCTTTAAAAGTTTCCCTATTTCCAGGCGTCTCCAGATTTGACTGTGATTAATCATAGCATGTGTACTATGGATTATAAACCCATGGTTATTCCTGAATAAGTTTATTTCTTAGAGAGCCATTCCTTCTCTTGTTTTTTTTTTTTTTTATATTAGGTTGATCTAATTTGGTGTCATAAGTGGGAACTGAAGCAAGATGCCATTTCCTTTCACCTTTGGAAGGAATTGATAACTCTTGGAATTGAGAGCTACCAATTCTCAGGACAATTCTCACAAAGGACTCATGGAGCCTTTTGTGTTATTTCCTTCCATAGCTTGCCTTTTCTGCAAGTCTTCATTGCCAAAATAAAGTCACTTATGTCAAACCCCAAACAAAGCGAAGCTGGGAGGTCGTATACAGAAGAGAACAGGATCTCATTATATACATGCGTTCAAGATAAGTACCATCACAAGGACTTTCTAAACCCCCCACCACAAAAAATAATCTGCATGACCTACGTGTCCTGCTCATCTTACTTGTCCTACTCATGTCCATAAGAAGATTTCATGAAAATTCCTCAAGACTACGTTTCAGATAAGCTGTCCTCGCAAAAACATTTGCTTAACAACTGTTTCCACCAATGAGTTAACATCAACTTCTACAACAGACCCCTGGTACCAATAATGTTTTGTTTCAAAACTTACACAGGCCTCTGTTTTTGCCTTTTAAAAGTCTTCCTCACTCAACCTCTTCAAATATGCCTATGATTTGTCATAACATACATATATTCCAGATTATAATCCTCTACTTATTCCCAAATAAATTCATGTCTTTAAAGAGCCAGTCTTTCTGTTGTTATTTTAAGTTAAACATTGCATTTGCTTAAGTGGGCCAGATTTGGTTTCTATTGCTTGCAAATGATAAATCCAAAACAAGAAGACGTAAATGTTTTAGTTACATTGAATGTATAAACATCACATATCAGTTTATAAGAAGATAATTTTTTCCCTAGCTCAAATTCTACAAGAATTTTACTCTGAGCTTGTGTATATAGTAGATAAGCATCATCACAATCACTTAGTGGTAGATGGTGGAGGTTTTTCTATATATTTATTTTTTATATCAAAGCCTCAATAAAACTTGAGGGTACAATGTTAAGTCAGAACTCATTGGGGGTATTTTTTGAAGAAATTATGTTAATAAACTGTAGATTAATCAGTTTGGTAACAACTGGCCTATTTCAAGCAGTGAGCTAGAAGACACTATAGGGCTGTTTATAATGATAATTTACTCTGATGAATTTTCCAAAGTTTAATCGTGCTTTTAACTGTATTGGACACAGTCAGTATAAGGCTAAAATCCCATACTTAGAATATACTCAGTATAAATAAAATATTATTTATTTATTCATTTTATCTGTTTTCTTAGGCATCTATTTTATTTCACTGGGCACTCTCACACTTAAATCCTAATCTATAGCTCAACTTATGGCTATAGTTTAAATCTCTCAAAAAAGGGAAAAAGGAGAACATCATGCTTATCCTGTTTCTTTTCATAATTCCACCAATTATGCTGTTTGGCAAACAATGTTCAATATTTTGAAAAGGTACAGAGTACAGAAAATACCACACTTATCCAGATAGAATATTATTTTAAGACAAGCCAAAACTTTGTTGCTTCCACCAAAGGTAAAGACAATGGTTTCAGGATAAACTTATATTGTAATTTGTGTAAATTTAAAATACAGAATAAAATAGAATGTCTTCAATATAATGAGTATAAATATTTTAAGGAATATGCAAATCAAATCAAAGCATCACTTTGGTATTAACCATAGGTATAACACAGCCTGGCTGAAATTTTTAAAGTATTTAATGCTCAGGGGAAATATTTTGATAACTTTTAATCAAACCATAATTTTTAAAAAGAACACCAGATTAATAACTAGGATATTCTGCTTCCAGTCTAGGATTTCTCATGTGTTATCTACATGACTGTGGGCCTCAGATGTCTCATCTACAAAATGAGAAGGTTGTGCTTACTGATTTCAAGCTTTCTTACATCTTTAATGTTCATAGAGATGTATAAAATATGCCAGAGGCTACACAAGACCACATTGCTTCTGAAAGTTTAGTTTCATGATCATTATTGAAACATGCAATGGGATCAATACAGTAATAAGCTATAGGTATACAAAGTAGTTCTTAGGAAGATTGCACAATTCAGGAAAAATGCTGCCAAGTAACAATTGTTGTAGAGAATGTCCTAACTGCAGACATAGAGGTTAGGAGGTGTGTAGCACTGAGGAAGTTTGCTTACCTAGGCTAGATGCTTAAAGAATGATTACTGGAAGAGATAATTCCTGCAGTGAGGTTTAAAGTATGAAATATTAATAAGATGAAGAGAAGGAACTGGAGCGCACCGAGCGAAGGAACAGCTTGAGAAATATACAAACTATGAAAAAACATGCTGTGTACAGGAAATGAGAGGTAGCCCAGCACTTCAGAATGTAAAATGCAAGGCTAAAGGTAGTGATAGGTTATGTTGCTGAGAGGTAGGTGGCTTTAGAGCAATGTAATATTTTCTATTAATAAGGCAATGGGAAGAAATTAGAGGAATTTAAACATGACAGTAAAATGGTTGATCTGTGTTTTAGATGAACTCTAATGCCCATGTAGAGAATAAAGTTGAGGATGCTTAAACTAGAAGTAGAAAGACCATACACGGGGCCAGTTGACAAAGCCTGAACCAGGAAATACGTAGTGAGAATGATTTAGAGAGGTCAGTTTCTAAAGATTAGAGAGAAGCTCTTGCAAGATATGTACTGTCAGCCAACTGAACAGAATTAATAAATACATGGGGATAGATGGGAACTCCTAAATGAAGTAATCAGAGCTATGAACCAAGAGCAGAAAACCAAAAACTGAGTGGTGGATGGAAGAAATGGTACCCAACAAAAGGTCTTAAAAGGAATAGTCAGAGCTCTAAAGTTCTTTCCTCTGCTTGTTCAATTATATGGCTGAGACTTTCCAGAATATTTTGCATTTCTCTAAGTGCATCCATTATTTCCTGAAGTTTTGATAGTTTTTTTATTTATGCTAATTCACTGAAGACGTCTCCCCTCATTTCTTGTATCATTTTTTTTTTTTATTTCCTTAAATTGGATTTCAGCTTTCTCTGGGGCCTCCTCGATTAGCTTAATAATCGACCTTCTGAATTCTTTTTCAGGCAAATAAGGGATTTCTTCTTGGTTTTGATCCATTGCTGGTGAGCTAGTGTGATTTTTGGAGGGTGTTAAAGAACGTTGTTTTGTCATATTACCAGAATTGCTTTTCTAGTTCCTTCTCATTTGGGTAGCCTATGTCAGAGGGAAGATCTGGGGCTCAAGGCTCCTGTTCAGACTTTTTTTTCCCCCACAAGATGTTCCCTTGATGTAATAATCTCCCCCTTTTCCTAGGGATGTGACTTTCTGAGAGCCGAGTTGCAGTGATTGCTATTTCTCTTCTCGATCTAGTCACCCAGGGAGGGGTACCAGGCTCTGGGAGAGAGCAGTGTCATAGATCCAAAAGGTAAAGGTCCCAAAAAGGTAGAAGTGGCAAATACTGTGTGAAATTCAGCCAGACTGACAGCTCAAATATGTTGTTTATTTAGACTTGGCTGTAGAAATAATAATTGATGTCAGAGAAAGAGCTGTTGCAGGAGCAAGGCAGACTAGAATACAGATGCCCCTGATTAGAAAAATAAATGAGGAGTACAAAACGGAGGAAATTGTAACGACACAAATAAAATGATAAATTTTGATCCTGTGGACATTATTGAAAATAAAAAAGAAGAGACAAAAAAGAAAGGTGACAATTTTTGAAGATAGGCAGACTACCCAACATATGAATAGCAGCAGTTCCTGAGAAAGAAAACCAAAGAAATGAAGCAATGACAACAAATATATTAAGCATGCTATCATTGAAGAAAACTTTCCTAAAATCATGAAAGTTTTGCAATAACACTGAAAGAGTACACTGTTGAGCCATGTTGGAGTACTATGTATCAGAGTAGCCCTTCTAGAAAAAGAATGGGGGAAACATAAAGCAGATGTTGTCGGATATTAGACAGTAGGTGGTACAGGCATGTGACCCCTAATTAGGGAAATCAGTGAAGCTAGCCTTAAAATCACCCTAGGTTTCTTCTGGGAGGCACCTTCTGAACTGTGGTGTAAGAAGGGGAACCCCAACAAGAGAATTGTTTTGCCGAACTGAAGAACCAAGGAATTAGATTTCAGTGAAGTCTGAAGTGCATGTAATTTTTAGGGTAGGGTACATGAGAGAAAAAGGAAAATTCAAGAGAAGATTTCTAAAAACTAGCATGGGACTGTCCTTGAGTTTTTGGCTGACTACTAAGCTTAGTTTGTTCAGAGTAAGATTCCAGGGGACAAGGAAAAGGACAGCTATCAGGGAAATAACAGCTGCTGATAACTTACTGGTTACTAAGGTAAACAGAACTGGGGCTAACACTGAACTAAGAGTTGTTCAACTTTCAGTCTACCAGAATAGAAAGTCAAGCTGAATACCAGGGACATTCATTATAAACCCCAGAAAGATTACATTTTATTAACTATCGAGGTTGAAATAAACTAGCCCTATGGTAAACCACCTTTATACAGCTTAAAACCAAGTCTCAAAAGGGTCAAGTTGGGCCTCCAGTAAATTAACTGCATGAAAAAATAAACTTTAAATCTCTTTAAAGGAACACAACAATATCTAGACACTCACTAGCAAAACATTCACAACATCAAATGCCAAATCCAAAATTATGCAATCATCTCAATAAATACAGAAAAAAGGTTGCTCCATTGATCCATTTTTGACACAAACTTTCTTCTAAGTGGGAATAGAAGCATACTTCCTCAATTTAATAAAGACAATAAAATAAAATACAAAATTACAGCTAAAATCATCATTAATGATGAAAAATCAAATGCTTTCAGTAAACGATTGAGGACAAGAATTTTCTTCTGTCACCACTTCTGTTACCATTATACTTGAGATCCTAACCAGTGCAATAAGGCAAAAAAAAAAAAAAAAAGGGAAAAAAAGAAAAAAAAGAAATAAAAGGAATTCAGATGAGAAAGAAATAAGTAAAAGTTTTCTCTCTTTTTTTTTATTTATCATGAAAGACAGCACAACATAAGTTGGGAAATAATCAAGAATAACCCACACCAGGACACAGTCTACCAAATCTGCTTGATTAAAAAAATATATTAGATTTTAAACAGGGATGAAAAATCCCTTAGCATCTAAAGACGTGAGAAATATCAAATTATTGTATTTAAGAATGCACATTTGTATGGTATAACCATGTGGTAGTTGTCTTCCTGTGACTTATTTTACTTTGCATGATGTTCTCCGGTTCCATCCATGGTGCTGCAAATGACCAAATTTCCTTCTTTTTAAGGGATGAATAGTAGTCTATTGTATTTATGTAACACATTTTATTTATCCATGTGTCTGTTTATGGACATTTAGGCTGATTCCATAACTTGAGATGTTTTACATTTTGAACCCATTCTACTTGGTCTATTTTCTCTAAACCATAATATATGATGTTTCTAACACCTTCATTCAATGTTGACAAATTTTGAGTATCTGACTTGTAGTTAGAATTTTAGGTATAAAGATATAAAAATTAGTAAATATAGTGTTTGTCAAAAGAGCTCACTATGTAACAATGAAGGCAAACTATTGAACAAATAATCCAATTCACATGGCAGAATAAGTTTGATATATTTAACTCCATAATTTGTAGAAATATACAAAATTACATAAATAAAAAAGGCAGATGACCACCTGAAAAACATTACTTGTAATCTTATTACAAAGATTAATTTTCTTGGCTGGGCATGGTGGCTCATGCCTGTAATCCCAGTGCTTTGGGAGGCCAAGGCAGGAGGATTTCTTGAGTCCAGGAGAGCAAGACCAGCCTGGGCAACATAGTGAGACCCTTTCTCTGAAAAAAATTAAAAAATTAGCTGTGCATGGTGGTGCACGCCTGTAGTCTTAGCTACTGCAGAGGCTTGTGGGGAGGATTGATTGAGCTCAGAAGCTCAAGGTTACAGTGACTATGATCCAGCCTGAGTGACAGAGTGAGACCCCGTCTCAAAAAAAATTGATTGATTTTCTTAATGTATAAAGAGGTCTTTCAAATCAATAAGAAAAAGGCCATCAATAGAATAGAAAAGCAAAGGACCTATATAGATAATATACAAATATAACAATATAAATGATGAAACAACATATGAAATATGATTGTCCTTGCTCATATAGTCATCCAAATTTAAGCAATACAGTATATGAAGTGCAACCCAGCAGTGTCAATAGCAACTATGTGTTTGGGGACATCTCGGAAAATTTCCACTGATTAAATGATATTTGAAGTGTTTGTTAAAAGACGAAGACAAGCTCACCAGGCAGATACATTCTACATGATGAAAATAGTTTGAATATATGCTGTGTTTAGAAAAGGTAAAAATGAAAGTATTATTGGGACACAGGGTGTGTAGGCTGGCATACTGGGATATGCAGCTGGTAAGATTAGTTGGAGTTAAAATGGAAATGTATTGTATGCTGTGCTATGCAGCTTGGGAGTGCCCCTGACAGAAGACAGGGAACTTCAAGGGATTTTGAGAGTGATTCAATCAGATGTTATACTATAAAGATAACAGTACTATGGAAAATAAACTAGATGGATATTTAGGAAATTCTCATAAAGATTCAAATGAGACACAATGGAGGTCTAAACTCAAGAAGTGACAGGGAGAATGGAGAGGAAGATAGAGAGGTGACCATGCAGGGTTTATCACAGGTTTACTGTAGACTGAAAAGGGTGATGACTTTCTTAGAGCAAAATCAGTGAAATTTGAAATTTTAGTTTCCATAGTAGTGATGAAAATAGGAAGACATGGTATATTTGGATGAAAACTTGTACTGCTATACCAGCACTAATGTGGGAGACTTTTTAAAAGCATGACAAAAATAATGAATAGTCATTTTCTTTTTTAAAGGGCAGAAAAAAATGCATCATCTCTCAGAAAGGAAAGAAAAAATTATGCTGGTCTCTTTAAGCTGTGTTTTCATTTTATTAGATAGGTGCAAAATTCATCCAATTTTGGCAAAAACTGCAATCACTTTTGCACCAACCTAATAATAGCACAGGTACAGTAGAAATTATTAAAATACTCTAACTTTCACCTTTAACACAGAAATTATTTGGTAAGTTCAAGAGCTCCTTGATTTCTATAGGAACAGAGCCCCCAAATAATGGCACATGATTTGAAGACCTTAGCTATCCATGAGATGAATGCAGCAAGACAAAATGACATCAGACGTATCCTCAGGACTTTTAAATTAAAGAGATTGGAACATAGATCCATTAAGCATTTATTCAAATATTCTTTCCTTTGTAAACTCTTTCTTGATGTCCTATTTTAAGCTATTTTAATTGTCTTATTGCTGTATTTACTAAATTCACAATTTATATTTGCCATATTCTACTTTTTATTCCAGTTATTGGCATTCTTGGCCAATTATTCTATAAAAAGATGAATATTGTAAACTAATAATTGTAAAGTGACTAAAATGTATAAAGTCTTTTTTCTGTGCCAGGCTACTGTTTTGAGTCGTTTACCTATATATTAATTTATTGAATACATAAGAAACCTAGAAAAAGTTACTGATCTCACCATCCCATTTGGAGATGAAAAAACAGGCACAGGAAAATTAAGTGCCTGTCAAAATCACACACTAACTACAATCTGCACATAGTCTGATCCAGAGTCTATGCATTTAACTACTATTTTATGCTACCTTTTATTACCCGTGATCTCCCACCCTTAGGAGATGGATGGTGTTACCAGTGGCGATTCTGTACAGGTCTGCATCAAACTCAATTCTTACCTCTTCAGAAGAAAGAATTCAACTGAGGGGGCATAAGGCAGAGTGAGAGATTGAGGCAAGTTTTAGAGCAGGAGAGAAAGTATTAAAAAGTTTTAGGGCAGAGACGAAAGGAAGTAAAGTACATTTGGAAGAAGGTCATGCTGGCAACTTGAGAGAGTCAAATGCCCTGTTTAACCTTTTACTTGAGGTTTTATATGTTGGCATACTTCTGGAGTTTTGTGTCCCTTCTCCCCTATTCTTCCCTTGTGGTGGTGGTGGGCTGTCCGCATGCACGGTAGCCTACCAGCACTTGGGAGGGGCCACATGCAGTGTGTTTACTGGAGTTGTGCGCATACTCACTTGAGACATTCTTCCTTTAAGAGTCAAATGTTCCTAGAAGGTCATATACCAGTTAAACTCCACCGTTTTGCCTCTTAGTGTGCATGCATGAGCCCACTTGCTTGCCCAGCTCTTGAGATCTCATTAGGAAGCTGCTGATCACCAGTTTCAGCTGTTTCTGTCTACTGGGAGACTGCATTTCCCTGGTACTGGCTGTGACCAGAGAGACAGTTAACAACCGCCTGGCCATCACCTCATTGTCACCTGGCATTGCTGCTGCATGTGTCAGTCAGGGAGAGCCCTCTCCTGCCCTGCGCATGCCTGGCTAGCTACCTACTATAACAATGAATGCTTAGGAGAAAGAAACATTTAATTAATAACTTAGTAATCAGCAAACGCCAGAAATTGTGGAGTCTGTCCTATCCACAGTAGGGGAACACCTGTAGGGATCAGAGAAAAAGATTACAACAGCCTGGAACCTGTAGATCTCTAGGTTTTGATCTTTCTCCTGGTTTCCTTCTGATACATATTTGGAGTAGGAATACACAAAGTGTGGAACTCATTTGCATCTGGGGAAGAAATGAAAACAGGAATAGAAAATTGTTAAGAAAAGTTGGTAAAAAGATACTGTTCTCTATCATCTTGATCGTCTACCCAAAATCATAAAAACGGAAAGTGCTTTTAATTATACCAGGCTCATCACTGAAAGAGAGCAGAGCACAGATGGCCCAGGAAGGTGTGTCAATCTGGTAATGTATATATAAGCAGAGCTGTAATTAATGGGGCTTCTCCTGAGAAATTATTTCCTTGGTCTTAATGCCTTCCTTCCTTCAAAACTCAGTGAGTCCTGAGCAGTCAGAAACAAAGTGAATTAATTAACTTTGCCTTCCCAAAAGCTGGCTTAAGTTATTAAAATATGGAACAGAAGTTTGGAGTTGGAGGTAATCATGGAGATTATCTGGTCCAGATCTTGGAAAGGAAATTCTACCCAGAATGGGAAGTTCCAGGTACTGGTGACAAAGTGATTGTGGCCTTGTTATTGGGCCTCTACTCATACAATACACATTCCTGTTAGAGGAGTTTTGTTCAAGCACAAAGTCATACCCCAAGTGTGTCTTAGTGGCTGACACTTGTGTTTCATGGCCCTCTTCCCCTGACATTTAGAAAGAAAAAAAAAGTCATTTTGAAAACTCTGTGCTAGTGATATTTTGGGAGAACTAATCAAAGTTTTGTTGTTTACATAATAAAGTTAAATTTCTTTTTGTGAATCAAATTCACATGTCAATCTTTGTTTCTACTGTACCTTACAATCTCATAAATTGCGTTGTCACATTTTCCCCAATGCAAAATTTCTTACCACCAAGCTTTATTAGATCCCTCGCTGAACCTTCCCTCTTCCCCCTTTTCTGACTGTCAAAATGTGTTTTATCTTTCAAAGGCTCACTGAAATAGTTCTTTCTCTGAAGGCTTATTCCTTCTTGAGTACCTTTTTCTTCATTGAATCTTCGGGACCTTGTATTTGTAATACAACACATCATGGTCAAACATGTGTCTTGTTATAGCTGTCTGTGTCTGTCAATATTTCCTTAGTCCTTTGTAGCACCCAGCTTAATTTATGGAACATGGTATTGACCCAGTAAATGTTTGAATTATATTGAATCGACTCCTTGTTGCTGGGAGACAGTGTAATACAATGGAAAGAGCACAAAGTTTGAAATTGCAACGCCTGTGTTCAGGCATCACCTTCTTCACATCAACTATGTGACCTGACAAAGGTTACCTAACCTTACTCAGCATCAGCCTTTTTGTATGTAAAATCTAGATAAAAATGTTTAACTCACAGATTCATGGTCTAGTTTAACCAAAATGATACCCGCAGAAAAGTGTGTTATAAACTGTAAATCTCTGCACAAATCATTGATGTGAAAACCTCTCTGTGACTTTTAGGTTAGGTTTGATTGAGAATATTTATTTTACAGGCTAATATAGAACTTTATGCTGTTATTTCTAACTTAACAAGCTGGCTGGCTTCGCTTCCTCAGACATAAACCCCCCGCACACCATATCACAGCTGGATAGAGCTTGCTTTCTGATTCAGTGCCTTTTTATAGTCCCTTTTCTCACAAGCCAACAAAACAGAACACACTCTTGCTACTGCTAATCAATGCCACATGTAGTACAATGAGCAATTAAGCCCTGAAAAAGGAAGAGGACATTAATAATAGAACACTTGATTACCGAGAGATTAGAACCTGAAATTGTGTTTGCATTCTCTGTTGGAAGGTATAATTTAATTAGCCAACTTGAAAAGGTTTTAAACGTGACAGAAAACTAATATTCTACTTCTGCAATTTCATTGCCCTCTTTCCCTCAGAAAAGAGAGAAATAGTTTCCGAATAAAGTTTTTAAATATTCAGATCTGTTGACACGTCTAGGGATGCAGATCTTGGGCCTTATACTTTTAGAAGAGCTCTTGCTATCCCTAGTTCTTACTTTGCCTCTTTATGATAGCAAAAATCACCCCAGAAGTGTGCCAGTAAGATGCCAACCTTTCTACCAATTGTTCCGTAGGAACATGTCTGGAGATCACTTTTCCCTAATTGCCACTGCCTGTCAAGAAACTTAAACATCAGCCAAGTTCTTTCACACAAGAGCTCCTTCCTTGTGATTCTAAGCAGTTCCTGGGTGCTCACTGTATGCTCAGTGTAAAAACCTTGGGTGGTCTTGGCCTAAAAGTGAAGGGTAGAAACTCAGAAATTCTTTAGAATTTAGAAATTCTTACTGAAATGGTGGCAATGGCATAAGTCTCTGTTGACACATAATACACCCATTTCTGAGAAGGGCCACAGGGAATTTACTTGTCAGGGAATGGAGTGCAGAACCGACCAACTGGGTTGGAAGGTAAAAACTTCCTGGAAAATTTCACACGTGACAGGAGGTTGGCTTTGGAGTGATTAAAAATGGACGGGAGGCCAAGATCATATTCTCATAGCTCACAGCAACTTCTAAAGAGACAGGAAAGGAAACTGGACTAGGGTAAGATTCTAAACATTGATAGCTGCTGAATAGAAAAGAGGCTCAACACTTGGAAGCTTTGGCTGGTGATGAATCTCATTTTAGGGAAAACTGCATATGAGATGAGGAGCAAAGACAACTTTGTCCAGGGCACCCCCTTCGAGGTATTTCCTTGCCTGAGTGCAAAGACGTCCCATCTCTCAGGAAGCTTACTTGGGAGGGGGGAATGGGAAGGATGAGTTATCAGGAGATCTCAAGCTCACCATGAAGGCTTATGAAGAAACCCCAGAGGGTTCAATTTAGTTGGCCTTACCTATCTAAATTGATAAGAAAACACCTTTGAGATGATCTAACTATAACCAGAACACTCCAACAGCCCAACTCTAAAAACGTAAGGAGAATAGACTTGTGAACCAGGGTGGCAGTGGTGGCTAGGTTGCCAAAGTACAGAACACCCAGTTAAATTTGGGTTTCAGATAAATAATACTTTTTCAGATAAGTCCCAAATATTCCATGGGACATATTTATTCTAGAAAAAAAAAGTTGTTTACCTGAAATTCAAATTTAACAGAATCCTGTATTTTCATTTAGGAAATCAGATCACATTGGCTGAGGGAATTCTCCTGTCCCAGAAGGTTGAAAACTCTTGTTCTAGGTTCTCCAGTAATACCCGAGATAGGTTTCTATGTCCTGTTGTTATTCAGATCCTTTGGATTCAGACTGCCTGGTTTTGGAATCCTGGATTCCCCAATACTAGCAGGTAACCTTGGCAAATTAACTTTTCTGTGCTTCAGTTTCTCCATTTACAGAATGGGGATCATAATAACTAAAACTGTCTCATTCTGTTGTGAAAATTAAATGAATAAATATGCATAATGCCCTTTGAACAGTGCTTGGAACATAGTAAGCACTCAGTAAATACTTGTTGAAAAAATGTAATTACTTATTATTATTTCAGTAGTTCAGCACTGTTAGGACCATGAGTTATTTTGCTGGGTGGCAACTAAGAACAGTAAGCAAGTAAGAGAACCTTGGCACAGAAGTTCTTTAGTGTTCCTACACTAGGAAACTGACTTCCACAACCCCAGTTATGTCAGCCTAGCCTATCAACACAAGAACTTAAAGGAACAAACTAAATCATGGCCTCATGAACAGACGTCATACTCATGCTGGGAAGGAATCTGGTGTTTCTGTTAAGGCAACAGCCACTTCTGGTGCAGAAGCAACCTTGAACCTGTATGAGATAATGGAAACTGGGAACATAGCTGACAGGAGATGGCACTGGGTGGAGAATATGGTTGTCTAGACGTTTGCTTGAATATATCACTTGACAGCCAGTCATAACCATTAAAACTCTTTTTTTCTGTCTTCTAATTAAATGTATGCAGATGATTCAGTGACTTTTCAGCTCAAGCAGGCACCAGAACTTTCCTTTCTCTCTGTGGTAGGTGAGAGTTTCAACTTGTTTTCCTTGTGTCTTCTGAGGGGCCTTCACTGCAATCACTCCTAAAGCCTGGCAAAGTAGTCTTTCACATTTTATCTATTCTCCTGGTCTGATGTTATTACTGAAGATAAGTACATATGGTCTTTGTGATTTAAAGAATTTTAAATTTACTCTCAAGAGGAGGCTGAACAACAGAGCCCTGTCACAGCACCATGGTGGAATGATTTGAACACTGGAACCAACAGCTGCAATCTGGATCTTTTGTCTGGCCCCATCAACAACCCATGACGTGACATTGGGCTGTCTGTTTAATCAGCCTGGGCCACATTTCCCACAAGCGTGAAAGGGGGATAATTATATTCCCT
The DNA here is from genome assembly GCF_000001405.40 of Homo sapiens. Taxonomy (NCBI): domain Eukaryota; kingdom Metazoa; phylum Chordata; class Mammalia; order Primates; family Hominidae; genus Homo; species Homo sapiens. The sequence goes on from NC_000002.12 coordinate 16,936,206, forward strand.
GCTCTGCCTACCACATAGGGTTGTTATAAAAGTCTTAAGAAATAATATATGTGAAAGAATTGTGTAAACCATTAAAAACACCAAGAAGTTGTTGTTTCTATTGCTATTAACTCTCACAGCCTGTGAGAGACTGAAAACTTGTGTGAGAGACATTGCCATATGCTTGTAAAAACTAGATTTGGGGCATTTATTCATTGCAAAAGGAACATTCAAATTAAAATTTTAAATTCAAGAGTAAACCATGCCATGTCTGAATCAAATATTTTTATATCTGTGGCCTGAGTGCAATCCAGCCTGTCACCCTTGATAGAATGCTACCTCTGCTAAGTGAGTCTGCGTGACTCATATTCAGGGAGATCTGAGTTTTATAAAACTATGGAATGTTTCTTAGTACAACTTCCAATCAATCTACAAAGATGATATTTTAGTTTCATGTGGCTAGGATGATATCCCCCAAATGTCCTCAGCACTCTCAGGATGCTAGAAATACAGCAGAACTAGAGAAAAAATTTTAATTGAAAGACAAGGTTTAACTTTTAACTCAATGGTTAGTTTTCCAAGGTTACAAAACCTTACTGTCCTTCTTCCCCACAGTGCTAGCTTAGCTGACTCTGAAAGAGTTTGTTTCAAGTCTACTCCCCTGCCATGACTATATCTCAGGGACAGCACTGCTGTCTCCACTCCTCCCTTCTGGGTCTCTTCAACCAACAGCAACCATCAGCTATATGCAGTCTTTTCTGTCTCTTTGAAAACATAGGTAATTTACAGAATACTTTTCTTGCTGACAGAATGGGAGGTGACTAAGTTTTCTTTTCCTTTGTCAGTTATCTTCTCTTCTTTTTGGATAGTCTTGTATCTCTTGGAGCAGCACTTTCTCCTCTATCACTTGAAATTTTATCTGGCACTTTTCTCTACTGTAGACATGGAGAGAAAGAGAGAGGAGAGGGGGAAGAGGAAGAGGAGGAAGAAGAAGAAAAAGAAGGAAGGAAAAAGGGAAGAAAGGAAAAGGACGGAAAGAAGGAAGGAAGGAAGGAAGGGAAGGAGGGAAGGAGGGAAAGGACGGAGGGAGGGAGGGAGGGGAAGGCTTGACTCTAGGCAAATTTTGACATTCTTCTGGGCCCATATTTTAAAGCTATCAGTATAGGTACCTGGCCCATTCTAGTACTACACGGGCAAAATAATTCTCTGTAATACTTATTGGTTTTACAGGACTGCTGAAATGAAGAAATTTTAAAAGCAATTTGCTTAAAATTACTCTAGTCATGCAACTACCCCTACACTAAATATATGTCTCCCATGGCTTTATAAAGGAGCCATTTGCCAACATAAGTGACACACTCAGAAGGTAGGTTGCTTTCCCCTCAGGTGTGTAAGGTGCAGAAGCAGTTATAGATAGGAAGCAAGCCTTTGTGAGTTGGGTTAGCTTGAAGTTTAATTCTGGGCTATGAGCCTAGTCTTGATCTAGTTATTGTAATGCAAATGGAATCCTACTACTTTTCCTTATGGGCTGAAAACTCTTGTTGAATCACCTTGGACAGGAATCTGGAATAGAAGCTCAAATAATGCAGCCTTCCTATTATTTGCATCTGCTTCTATATACAATTATACCCATTGATTTGTCACCCCAAGGTACTGGGACAGGGGAGTGGGGCTGAGGCAATGGAAAGACCCTGTCTGAGTAATCAATAACTTGGTTTGTGCAGGAGCTTTAGGAGACATCATCCAAATAGGGATGTGGGGTCACGAAGTGAAGTTTGAACCAGGAAGTGAGCAGAGAAGGCTGAGTCAAAGAATGCTGTATTAAAGTTCATGGGCAAAATCCCTAGATAACATCACAAATTTGAGTTTGTGGAAATCAAAATCTCAAGTCATTACACAGATAAATGGAGATTAAAGATTTCAGAGTTTTTGGAGCAAATGACCATGTTCTCCATGTTCCTATTGACAATTGTTCTGCATATTGAGTATTTTGAAAAATGATGACTTTCCCACAAGAAGCACATACATCAAAACGAAAAATAAGTTCACACGTGTGTGCACACATAGTCACACATACACAAACAATATAAGAAAATAAGCAAATATGGTTCATTATTCCAGGAAAAGAGCTCCTCAGATAGAAGTGTTCCAAAACAAAGCAAAACAAACAAACAACAACAAACTCCGAACTTATTTTGAAAGGAGGTGTCTTTATCATAGTCTTTTGTTTTCAGCACCTCATACTCATCTCTTTTTGGTTCATTTTCTTGAGAATTCAGGACTAAGTAAAATTCTCACCTAAGCATATTGACTGTTAAGTTTTTTTTTTGTTATTTGTTTGTATCGTAGGTGAGTGGGGAGTGAGATTTCTGACAGGAATAATTGGAGATTTATTCTACAATGGATAAAATCTCATTTTGGTTTCTACTAAAGCAGTTCTACTGGCTAATAGCAGGAAGGATATTCCAGCTTTTCACAGAACCACTCAAGACAGATATTTGCTAAGCTTAAAGGTTTCTCCTCCTCTTTCCTGTGAAAAAACACAATAATCACCAGTGGCAGATATTATAATACACTATGTAACTCATGACTCTTGTTTTCTTTTTGGTTTGCCTTTGTTTTACACATTGTTAAGTCTAATAAATTCCAAAAGAAGCCCACATTTTCCCTTCAGACTATACCTATCTTAACTTGTAAGTTATTATCTCTTTGTAAACATCATAGCACTTATCTGTTTCCAGCCATTGAACTAGAATGGAAGAAGGGGTGAGTTAATTGCTATCAAGTGCATTATAATCGTAATTTTTTCTACTTGGAATGCACCATTTCCTTACGTCTAATTCTTAATTATTTTTCAGGAACTAACACAATTGGCACATTTTTAAAATAAAATGTGATTTATTAAGCCTGCATGTGAGGAGCATGCTAAGTGCCAAGATATCAGGCAGAATGTCACAAGATACTGATAAGTCTTCCAAAGATTGGAAAATATTGCTCAGAATAAGGTCACAGTGGCAGGCTGATTTCTCTACTGATAATGTCTTTAGTTGACAGGATGGTAAGAGGTGGCTGAAATTGAGAGGATTGTGAGAGAATGCAGTAGGATAATGTTTGCTCCTAGCTTTTATCAGCTTCGCTCAAGAAGATATTCTTTAGTGCCAAGCCAGAGATGTGCATAGCCATCATTCTATGTGCTAGCATTATTGGTGTCTCATCTCTGTATTAATCCAGAGAGAACTGTAACATGCAATGGCAACTTGAAAATCCAATCCAGTACATATTTCAATGACATCTTGCCTTTCTATTTATGTTTTTCCACTATGCTTGAAGAAACTCTTCATTAAGGAACTTCACAAAGATTGACTTACAAAAGAAGTTGCCTTTCAGGCAGTGCCACTTCCATGTCACAATTCACTGTCCACTTTGGTAGAACACTTGCAGTTGCCTCAGTGGGTCAGACACACCTGGACTACTTTCTAAGGAAGTGACAATTTGTCTTGCTTTGTTCAGAGATAAATAAAACCTCCTTTAAATAGATTCACAAGAAAAAGACAGGGAATTAGTAAAACAGCACTAGGCTTTTTGGTTTAGTTTTATTAAATTTATTTCTCAGAAGAAGCTAAATTCTAGATGGAAGTCTTGTTATGAATGTCCTTTATTATTATTATTATTCTTATTTTAATGAGCTGTTCAGCAACACAGTCAGGATAGATGTTTTCAAAAGTCTGAGCTAGCAGGGTATTGTGGCTCATGCCTATAATTCCAGGGAAGGCAGAGGTGGGAGGATTGCTCGAGGCCAGGAATTTCAGAACAGCTTGGGCAACATAGCAATATGCTGTCTCTAATACAAAAATGAATAAATAAATAACAATTTTTTTAAAAAAAATTGCTGAGCTGATTGGTTGATTGGTTAGGAATGGGAAACAAAAGTTCACACCCACCAATGTGACTTACATAGAAGGCTCCTCTCCCTGCCAAGGGTGACCCTCTTTCTTCAGCTCCACCATCTTCTCACAATAGTATTATGGAGTCACAAATCTGCTTTCTCAACTCTCCCTTCTCTGTCTTCTTTCTCACTGAGGTATGAAGACTAAAAGTTGATCTGTTATTTGTGTTTAAAATCTGCTATCGAGTTCACACAGAAGCAGATAAAGGGGTCTCATTGCTTTTCTGGACAATTCTACACAGTACCATGCTTCTCAAGATTTGGATGTGACTCATTTCATACCACAATGAAACTCAAACACTCTCAGGAGGCTTGCACCACTGTTGGCAAATGAAGTCAAGCCCATAAATATGAAAAGTGTCTGAATTTTCTTTTAGGGAAAAGAGTATTGAGTGGGAACCATACTTTCTGAGGCAGAACTTCAGCTCTAGGATTAATACACTGTCTCATCAGGAGTCAGAGCTCCCCATTTCTCTAAAATGAAGAGGCTGGATTAGATTATTTCTAAGGGCTATTCCAGGCTTAAAAATGATTTCTAATTGTAATATATTTGGGACAAGTTCACAACTTGGTCATTTCTCTCAAATGGCAGGATCTGACAAATAAGATGCTCACAATAAATATTCATCAGAAGAATAGATGTGTGGATGGATAAATGTGTGGATGGATGGATAGATGGATGGCTAAACAAGTTAAGTGCTTATTGTTAGCATTAACTACCTCATTAATAACCTATGGCCTATTGGCTTAAAATATCATGCCAGTTTAGAAAATTGTTTTCATTCCTTGTTCTTTGTAAGCTCTTTCAGGGGCTAAAACTTTACAGAGAACTGTGATGGTTAATTTTTGGTGTCAACTTGACTAATTTGTAGTGCTCATTTCTTTGGTCAAACACCTGTTGAAAGTATTTTTTTTAGATGTGATTAACATTTAAATCAGTAGGCTTTGATGAAAGCAGATCATCCTCCATAATGTGAGTGGCCTTCATCTAATAAATATGAAACAGCCAAGTATAAACGGGTCCCTGGAGAAACTCCGATCAGCCTGCACACTGGGAGGACAGGGTGGAGCCTTGGAAGTTCACGCCCTTTGCAAGGGGGAGGATCCTGGCCTTTCCTGTTCTGAGGTGGAACCTGGGATTCAATCGGTTAGGTGAGAAGCCCACTAGCAGGACTCTGGCTTTGCTAAGAGTCCCTGTTTCTCTATTATTTCCTTTTCCCCCAATAAACCCTGTCCTTCTCACCCTTCAAAGTGCCTGCAAGCCTAGTATTTCATGGTCGTCTGACAAGGACTCCATTTTTAGCTGAACTAAGGAGAAAGTCCTATAACAAATTGATGAACTTAAGAGCAAAGTCTGAGGTCCCCCAAGAAGGAAGGAATTCTATCTCCAGACTGCCTTCAGACAGCAACTGCAAAATCAACTCTTCCCTGGGTCTCCATCCTCTTGACTAACAAAATCTGGACTTAATCAGCCCCCAAAATAATGTAAGCCAGTTTCTTAAAACCACTCTCTCTCCCTTTTTCCCCTACTTCAATTTCTATTGGTTCTATCTCTCTTAAAGTCCTTTACTATTACAATACCTATGTATGTTTTTGACAAGAGAGGCATAGTTGATATGTGTTCTTATTTGGATGGTCAAAATATCATCTCATTAGCAATAAAGGATATAGTATCTCACTTCCTGTAGCATCTTCCTGCTACATCCACTTCCTTTGACATCTCACTCCCTGTAACCTCTTGCTGCTACATCTACTTCCTATAGCATCTCACTTCCTATGGTATTTTGCTGCAACATTTACTTCCTGCAGCATGTCACTTCCTGTAGCATGTTGCTTCTACATCCACTTCCTTAGCATCTCACTTTCTAAAGTATGTTGCTTCTATGTCCATCTTCTGGCTTACAACGATGTTTGGGTCATTGATCTCAACCTTTTCCACCTCATTTGTTCTTCCTTGTGAAAAATCAAAGACGACGACAAATGTTTGTTATCAGTAAGAGAAGTCAGAAACAAACTCCCACTTGAAAACCAGTGGCAATCTGTTCAAGGAAAAATAAGATAGGAAGCCATTGGCATTTATCTCTGTGATCACATATCATTCAGTTCTGCATCTCCAGCATCAAGCAATGTAAGAGACATAGAGGGTCCTCAATGAAATTCTCTGGAATTAACGGATGCAATGGCTTCAAGGTTTGCATGAGTTAATCTCTCTTCTTTCATTATTCTCCATTTTTAACCTTTCCTTAGGCTTCTCACCAACTTTTCCCTCTGGTCTTTTAAGTGCCAATTGTTTTTTAGTATTTTGAATCTATCTCTTTCTCCACATTTATTTTACAAATCCTTGTGGGCTACTCTCATCTACCTAGCATATACAGTTAGATTTTTAAATACTATTTCTACTCCCACTTTCTTTAAGAGCTCCAGAATGTCCTGGGGACTCCCAGTACCTGAAAGGAGTTAATAACACCCTAGTTCTTTCCTCGTAAGTGTGGGTATCGCTGCGTTAGTGATTATAACATTGTGTCACAGATATTGTTTTTATCTCTTGCCCATCACTAGTGTATGTTTTTCTGGAAAATAGGAAATGTCAGGATCTAGCGCACAGTAACGTTTATTTAACATAGAGCTGGTTAACTGAGCATGTAAGTTTATTGTATTCACATGTTCTGAGCTTTCTTTGGCAAATAAAAGATTTGACGGTTATGTATTCTAGGTGAAAATGGATATATTTAAGGAACAATATTCACAGAGAGCCATGACAATAACTCCTATTTAAAATGTAAAACTGCACAAAATATAGGCACAATAATAGCTACAAATAAAGGTCACAGGTCATGCCAAATTCATGTGTATTGCACCAATATATTGAGGTGTTTGGATGACTATATTGAGTGATGGCACTATTTTGGATAATTTGTCTGTTATAAAAGAACCATTTTGAAGGACATTCCTAGGTTTCTAGGAGTAAATAGCCTTCCTACCACAGAAGTAGACATCTAACACAATGTTAGTTTCTTGTTGAACATTAATTTATTTCTCACAACAAGCCTTTGGGGTAGATATAATGCCCCTGTTAAATCTAAGTTTCTGTAGTGTTAAAGAGCTCACTTGTGGTTTCACAGCTTTTAGATGGTAGAATTGTGCTCTCCACTGTTTTATGTCTAAGATCAAAGCTTGGGATGGCCTATTCTTCTTGGAAGCCTCATGGAGACCTGGTCAGGACTGCTATCATTCTAACCAGGCAGTAGCTCCACAGGGAGATGGATTACACATTCATTTTGTTTTTTCTCCTTCACAGCACTGGACACAGTGCCTTGTATTTAGGAAGTACTCAGTAATCCTATTGCACATTTCCAGGTCTGACAGACCCTGGGCCATCTTCCAAAGTCGCCACCTGTGTGAAACAACTTGTGTAATTTACCTCCTATGATTGCTCAATTTTGAACTGCACAATCTTTTTTTGACAAAGCCTCTTGTTGTGTTCATTTTTTGTTTAGAACTATATTAATAGACAGATATAGATACAGACTTTGTTTTCTGTTTACACTGTACTTGGACCACATAAATCTGGACATGGTAGTGCAGAGTAAAGGGTAGGAAATGCATTGCCAGCTGGCAGAACGTGAGACCAGTATGTCCCCAGTTAAAGAATATTGAGTCAGTCTGTTCTAATTCCTTTACAGAACTGCCAGTCTTCATCAGAGAGCAGACTATCCTGAACCAACTTACTTCGAATCTGACAGGATTAATAACAACCCACCCACAGGTGTTTCCTCGAAACCTTTTACACTTACTATTCTCTGCCTAGAAATGTCTTCTCTGAGACACTCATGTGGCTGGTGCTCTCAATTCACTCAGGTCTCTGTTCAAATGGCACCTTATTAGAGAGGCCTTTGTTAGTGACCCTTATAAAATAGACTCCCTAGTCAGTTTCTAGCCCTTTCTCAGCTTTATATTCGTTCATAGCACCACCTAGCACCTGGCATATTTATTTATTTACTTATTTGTTTATTATCTGGGAACTTTCACTGGAATGTAAACTTTCTAAGAGCAGAGAATGTGTTTATTTATATCATTATATCCCCAATGCTTAGAACTGTGCCCCAGTGCCTAGTACTGAGGAGGTGTTCAATAATCATTTTTCAAAGTGTAAAATAATGAATCATAGCCAGTTATAGCCAGTTATAGGAACCGTAAAATAATGAATCATAGCCAGTTATAGTAACCCTAAATGCAAGCATCTGATGATAGGACCCCCATTGTGTGTGTGTGTGTGTGTATATATATACATATACACATACATATACATATACACATGTATATACATATATATATGTATACCATTTTATTATTTACTATTGTGAATCTCCAGGTGGCATGTATTAATAGTATCTAGCTTTTTGGACTTAGAATGGTGTTTTGTAATCATGGAAAAGGCCTAAATGACATTTTTAAGAAAAGACAGATAAATGAGCTACACTGTTTCTCATTTTCTTTGAACGATTCGTGTATTCTAAATTCCTTAGGATCCTCCTAGGTCTCACCAGTCAAAGTCTAAATAAAGTTAAATTGGCAGCAAAAAACATCATAATCTCTTTGCTACTGGAAGCCAAGCTGAATTCACCATCTTTTCTTTGCTTGCTACTAATAATTGAAAGAAAATATTATATCTCATGTTTAGACTTACCAGTGGTTAAGTGGTCAGGGGCTGTTCTAAGTAGCAGCCTTCTGGTGCTGAAGAAATTGTAAAGTATGTGCAAACAAAAACACACACAAACTGATTGGACACACTAGGGTAAGGAACGGTACTGGGGTAAATCTCCCTCACCTGTAGAGTACCTTGTGATTTTCCCGCCTCTTCCCTGGAAGTTGAATGCCTGCTGGAGCTGAATTCCTGCTCCATCACCTGTGTGCTGGTGACTGAAATAGAGATTAGCAGGGAGACCCACTCCAAGTTTACCTAACTTAGAACTGAGTCTTTAACTTACCCATATTGACATCATATTCCTGTTGTAACCTTTGGTTCTTTGGGTTTTTAAAAAGCATGTAGTTGAAATTTATATTTTAACCTTTGGGAACAGGCAAACAGTGTGGTAAATTCACATGGTTTGGAAAGTGGGAGCTCAGATTGATCAAATGTCAGCACTGCTCCATCTTCCTACATGTCCGGGGCTAATCTTTGGAAAAGAGACCTAGGTTTTAGGCTCTGGCAATGTGATGGTGTCAAGAAAGATGGGCTCTGTCCTAAACTAATGCCAAAGTAACAATGATCTATTCTAGGTAGTAATATGTTTGTTTCCATAGATACCGGATTAAATAGACTAATTATACAAATATCTTTTACAAATGTATTCAAATTTCATCTCTGATTTGGTAAACCTCCTGACATCTTATTCGATTGTTTTCTCACTTCTCTTTTAACAAAATGCAAATGCTTTATTAAGCCTTTAATGAAGATTGAATGAATAGAAATGGAATTTTACCTTGCTATGGAGATATGCATCTGCTTTTCTTCTGTGTAGTGAAGTTTTAAACACAGGCAATCAAAGTTTCCTCTCAATTCTAACAATCTATGTGTCCCGGAAAACAAGTTTGTACATGTATATACATATTTTGATACATTTAGACATCAACTTGCAGAATTATCTCATTGACTATACTGTAAAAGTAGGAATTAATTTTTTAACAGTGGAATTATATCCTATTCTCTTTCCAGTACATGCTTTCTGAAGGATGAAATCCACGTACTTCTAGTAATTCACACTTATGCTTTTATCTTTTTTCATTTAACATTTTGGAGTGTGACATTAAACCTCACATATGAACTCCTGCTTCACCCTAGCTGGCCAGACACCTAGAACCAACTCATTTCTTCCAACTTCTGAGGGTCAAAACAAGAGAGGGTGCAATTTGATTCTTTCTAGGTTCTCCTTAGGAGAATGAGCTTCATCAGCAGCAGCCCTTGTTCGGATATTTCAAAGTGGAACAGGTTTATCAGTGTGAAGATCAAGTGAGAGTGTGTGTTTGGGGTCAATTAGGGATGACTGCTTTATGCTCTATTGTCTCAATGTATTATTAAAATACATAATAACATTCCCCTGAATGTAAGGAAGACATTTAACTTTTCAACTTGCATCCCCACATATTATTTTATTTTGATCTTAAAGAGTAAAATACTTATTATCTGGCTTCTATAGAAAGGAAATGTAAGATACAGAAAAATTTTAAAAGAGAAACTTGCTCATATTTACATAGTTACTCACATATGGAAAATTATCAGATCTAGAATTCAGGTCTCTATGTTCCTAACTCTATGCTAAATATTCATAAATTCCCCTTTATCTGTTTCAGAAAGAACCACATACTGTGGTAACAACTATAATATTCTATAACTTTTTCTAACTAAGTAATACATTCATATAATGATTCTTAAATGTTTCAGACTTTTAAGTGTGAATATACTCTGAATTAACTAAAGCATATGTGCCTGTAGAGAAACACAACACAACACACACACACACACACACACACACACACACACACACCCTATTTTTGCCTCTTTTTACTTCTTTTACCTATTTTTAGAGCTGGATCCTCTTAGAATCACTTTCAAATCTAAGTGTGCTTTTGTGGGGTAGTGATAAAATATTATTAGATTTCCTATAATGTAAAGCCTGAACTTTTAGTCATTTCATTTTAATGTTAACACAGTGAATTTCTAGACCACTTAACGATGAAACACATACCAAACTAATAGGTGTTCAGAAAATTTTAACAATTGTGATATTAGGCAATGCTAAAATTACTTTCCTGTTAGTAATTATGATCAGGTATCTGTAGAAGTAGCTGCATGTCAATTTTCAAAATAGACAATTAGCTGGTAAATTGGCCTTTTTTTGCAATATACACAAAAAAATAACAAAGAGGCCTCTCTTCACATGATTATGTTATCTGAGAGGACCTGAAAAAGAATTTCTTAAGGTGAAAAATTGGCCCATGAACCACCATTTCTGGACAAATATGACTCAGTTTACTGCTTTGTAGGAGTGAATATTCTGGGTGGGATTGGCATTTATTATAATCATCACTGTACCAATAATCAGAACAATGGAGTCCATATTACCTTCTTTATTGACCTGGTATTACCTTCTTAGTTTTCCCATAGATAAAACTGCATCTGGTGATAGTGAGTGATATTTAACCACCTGGCAAATGTTAAATATTTACTTTAGGCACAATAAAAACCTTATTGTTATTGATAGTATTTCATGCTGCATTACTATTTATACATCCCCCACACCTCCCTTACATATGCTTTTTGATTTACCCAAGTGACAGTTAATATTGAGTGTCAACTTGGTTGGATTGAAGGATGCAAAGTATTGTTCCTGGGTGTGTCTGTGAGGGTGTTGCCAAAGGAGATTAGCATTTGAGCCAGTGGACTGGGAGAGGCAGATCCACCCTCAATCTTGGTGGGCACCATCTTAATCAGCTACCAGCATAAAAGCAGGGATGGAAAGGGCAGATTTAAAGAGTCTTCTGGCCTCCATCTTTCTCCCATGCTGGATGCTTCCTGCCCTCGAACTTCGGACTCCAAGTTCCTCAGCTTTTGGACTTTTGGACTTACAGCAGTGGTTTGCCAGGGGCTTTCGGACCTTCGACAATGGACGGAAAGCTGCACTGTCGGTTTCCCCACTTCTGAGATTTTGGGACTCGGACTGGCTTCCTTGCTCCTCAGCTTGCAGATGGCCTATTGTGGAACTTCACTTTGTGATCATGTGAGTCAATACTCCTTAGTAAACTCCCCTTTATATGTAAGTCTGAAGCAGCGTCATTTTCTGGGTTAAATACCCGGGGTTCAGCATCTGATGCCGAGAAGATTAACCACACAGACACACACACACAGAGTGGGTTAATGAGTGCAAAGTTTAACACAAAGAAGAAAAGAGAGGAGAGCAGCTCTGGAGAGAGAGACGTCCAGAAAGGAAAAAGCAGCAGACCACAGCAGATTTTAAAGGCAGGCTTCAGGAGGAGGTGTTTGATTTATGTAGGGCCCACAAATTGGTTCAACCAGGTGTCATGTTTACATAGCGTGCGGGGAAGCCTAGTCGTCCCACCCTAATCTTATTATGCAAATGAATTTTCCACTTGGCTGGCGCCATCTTGTCTGCTTCTTACTGAGGGGAAGTGCAGTGTAATGGTTAAGTTGAATCCCAACTTTGCTGCTTGCCACCTGTCAGACTTTGGGTGAATTAATTTGAACTGTCTGTCTCAGTTTCTTTAGCTGTAAAATAGGCATAATACTAATTATCTACTTCAAAGCATTCTTGGTTTCATGGAATAAGTTAAGATATGGAAGAGTCCATCTGTCTAAACCCTAGGCAGCTTGTGAAGGAAGCTAATGTTTATCCAAGAGCTAAACAATCAGAGACAAACATATGGGTTTTGTCTTTTCTTTTCTCTTTAAAAATAAATTGGAAAACGTTAAGAGAATTAGCTCATACTGGGAACATATCATGAACCACAGTTTCTAGAATGTCCTAGAATCTGTCCACATTTAATGCCATTTCTTGCCTATAAAAGAAAAGCAGCCAATAAAAGAGTTCTCCTTAGAAGGAAAATCCTGAGATTCTGGGCAAGTTTGGCTGCTTTATGAATCAAAATAAAATTAACTCAAATAAATTGGTGTGTTGAAGGTACTTTCTAATACTTTAATGCCATAGGAAGTGAAACTCTGACTTTGGAGAGCATAAGGATCCCCCAACACTCCTGTACAGACACACACATCATCATCATCATCATCATCATCATCATCATCATCATATTCATGACCCACTTTATTTTAAAAGCTTTCTTTATTCTTGTTACTTGATACATGGGTGCTCTTAGAGAAATATTTTTCTTAGTCCCCATTTAGAATGTCTGATTTTTCTAAGCAGCTAAATTTCACATACCAGGCTGTCTTACACACACACATACACACACACACACACCCACACACACACCGCTACCTTCTAAGGATCGTGCGAACTGACTTGTTTGGCCATAAAAATTCACACTAAGATGTGTGAATGGTCTATACTGGCCTTTATCAGTAAATCAATAAAACAACTGAGAACATACTCCTACCATTCTCAAATGACAACCTGTTATTTGCCTAGCTGTTGTCTACTAAGTAAACATGTTTGTATTCTGTGAAGATGTCAATAATGCAGACCCTCTTGCTAAGACACTGAGCATCTACTTTCCCAGGTAGAGGACACTGGAAAGGGCCTTTGAGGGAGCAATGGAAAGTACATCAGTGGAGATGTGAGGGCAGCATTTTAGGTGAAAAAAAAAAAAGGGCCATGAGTAAAGACATAGTGATTTATTTAAACAGACGTATGTATTTTGTTTTCCAAGACTTGGTACTCTGTGTAGAATCTGACGCCAAGTACAGATTTCTCACTGGGTTGTTGATGGAAGAGAGGAAGGGAGGGAAAGAAGAAAGAAAAAAGGGAGGATGAAATAAGAGAATCAAGATTAAGTGTTTTGTCCCCTGTTATCACAATTGTGTTGTGAAGCACCAGAAAGAAGGATTTGTTTGGAACAAAGTGTCCTGTTTCTCTGCAACTAAAGATAAGATTATTTTGATTCCAAAAGTGCAAAACAAGGTTTTCTTAAGAAAGCACTTTTGACAATCTACTCAACCTGAGGTTATTGGGTGTGAGCAATAGCTTACAGGGTATTTTACTATTTTACTATAAGTTAAGTTTATCCTTTTTCATTTTGATCTCCCTTTTCAGAAAAGAAACAGTGATCACCCATTCCTTTTTTGTCTTTGTGGTTTTGTTTTGTTTTGTTTTGTTTGTTTTGTTTGTTTTTTTTTAATCGTGGAGGTACTGCAGTGACGCTTCACCTCTTCCTGGGGTCCCATTCTCAATGGCAATTCGGCATTGTTTAGGTGGCTTCCTGCCAGGGCTTGAGCTTTCCTGAGTCCTCTCTGGAGGCTTGAGAAATTCGTGAGTTAGAGAGGAGGGAAGGCTAGGGAGTATAACACATTATCCTACCTCAATAGTTTTTCACTTTGCAGACTCTGGGGTGAAGCTCAAACACACAGGAGTTAGAGAGTGAAGACCCTGGCCCTGACAGATGCCTGCCACTTACTGCTCCACTGATCCAGGCCAGGTGCAACTCTTTAAACCTTGGTCCCTCTGCCTGTAAAATGGGGTAACATTATTTGTCCCATGGAGCTGCTATGCGGTCAGTCGAGATCAGGCATGTGCTAGGTCTTTGTAAGCCCCAAAGAAGCCATGATAAAGAAGTAAAAAGATGAAGATTTTGGAGATAGAGAGGAATTGTGTGTATGTGTGTATGTGCATGTGTGTATAAATAGCACGTATTACTGAGGATCCATGCCTACTTGTGGGATGTTTGAGCAGATTGCTTCAGATCTTAGCTACCAAATGCAACCCAAACAACTTGTAAAGATAAGAAAAGCTCAAATGCACTGCATCCAAGAAGGGCCAAGAAGATAATGTTTGGTGCTTTCCCTTTGTCTTCTGTCCCCACAAGATCTGATAACAGTGCTCATGCTGGTCTGATATTGGGTGATTCACAAAGTGTGCACACAATCATCTTCTGCCCAACATAGTGGGGGGTGGCCACTCTTTGAATAGTCTAGGGCTGTGGTGGGAGGCTACCACCAGGAGTTCGAATAATTTCCATGTTTTCTTCTCACTTCAGTAATTCCAGTTAATACAGCTGAGAAACTGATGACCCAAAATGCCCGTCTGTGAAGAAAACTGCAGCCCCCTGCTTTGAAAACTCACACTGAGGCTTGCAGAAACAAAAAGCTGTTGCTGGGCTGATGTTTGTTTGATTTTGCTAAATAATGTCCTTTTCATCCACTTCCTAGGGATGCCTCCCTCATCCTAAGGAGACAAGTCTAACAAGAGCTGCATGCATGTCTTATATACATTGTGGGCCCATGTTTATTTCCAATTTATTTCTTGCTTGAAACATCAAACTGGAGGATTTCAATGATGCAATTATAAGTATTAAAATACGCCATTTCTAAGAGCTTCACTGATTTAGGAACAGATTGCTGTGGATTTGAATCCAAACTCTGGAATTTACCTACGATATGACCTTGGGCAAGTCATGTTCCCTCTCTAAGCCTCAATCTCTAATATACCCAGTCTCTCCTCCCTAAAAGTCATGGCTATCTGAAGATTATATGATTATTTAAAAAATACGAAGACATTGGCAGAACATAGTTCAAGAAATATTTCATTTCTTTATGAATTCAAGAGTTTCTATGGGGGAGAAGAACACCACTTCTCATATTCAAGACAGAGTACAGTTTGGCTCAGACATATGTAGGAATCAGAATGCCTTCCCCCACAGCATAGCAGGGGAGTAGGTATAAATGATTATCTTTCCTATAGCCAAGTATCTATGTTTTCTAATAATCCCAAAAATTTAGAGGTGGAGAATAATATTACCCTTGCCTTTGAAATATTAATCTATTCCTATCCTGATAGGATAGGAAAGCTATCCTATCAGGTCATATATACCTACAGAGTATATCACCTTTATTAGTGGAATAATTAGTGCATGACAGTATGCAAATGCTGGAACATTTAAGCCTTCCATCTTGGGATGATTGTCAAAAATCCCAGGAATCAGTAGGAAATAGGGAAGATGTCTGAAGTGCTGTAATCTGCATTTACTGTTGTAATAAGCATGATGAGAACCTCCTTTTCTCTGCTTCAGGTCCACCTGGAGAGGCTTCAGTTAGTAAAACCCCTTGCATCTCTCAATACCTTCTCCTTTGTCTCCTCACTGGAGTCAATTGTCTGTTCAGCAAATTTGGAAGCAGAAACTGAAAAAAGTCTGAACCTCTTTTATTTGTTGGGGGATATTCCTGTCACAGGTTCCCTCTTCATCATAGGTTTAAGAACCTGCCCCCAAAAGGGAGACCTGAAATATTCCAGAACTGACTTTACCAGGTAATAATTCTGTCTAATTTTACAGCTCGGTATTAGCAAATTATCAATGCTAAGTTTATAAGTTTCTCATCTTTATTAGTTTTAATGTTGGCATTTTGATCTCCACTTGTCTGACATCTTCATCTCAGTTGATACTCAAGAAGGAAACTTCAGTGGGGAAAAGAGGGATGTTACTTTTTAACTCCTATAAAACCCAGAAATAATAATTTTGTTCTAATTTAATAGTCAAACATTATGAAGTATGTCAAAGCTTTTTTCATCTATTGGAGAAGGAGTAATGAAAATGACCTACATACTGTTACTACATACATAACTGTTATGAGAATTAATTGTAATAACACAAACAATGCATTCTCAACAGGAGTGCTAGCATCCTCTTTAGCATACACTGCTCAGAATTTCACTAGTCAGTGTGGCTGCCAGAGGGAGAGGTTGTCATTGCAGCTTTGTCACAGCTGGGAGGCAGAGCCTAAGAAAGGCAGCATAGAGTTCTGAGCAAGAGGGTCTTCCAGTGGTGGTTCAGAGAATCTCCCAAAATCACAAACCAAGTCTAGATTCTTCTCAAGAGGTAGGAGGTGGCCTGATTGGAGGAAGTGGACCTTCAATGCTGTGTTAGAAGGTAAGAGGGGGGGAGTCAGTAGACCAAGGTAATGTTTAAGAAAGCTGGTCAAATATCAAAGGGGAAACTTGGAGTGATGATAATAACTGCTGTTTATGGAGAACATGTAGTAAGCACTTTACATCCATCATTTAGTTTTGTAGATTAGGAGCTCTTGTATGTTGACCGTTTCCTTGAGAAGGACATGCCCAGGGCAGCAGGTATGCCCAGATAAACTGATCCCACTGCTAAGCTACAGGCTGCTGAGAAATAATCAATAATAAATGACCCTTGTCCTAAGTCATAGAGTTGTGAGGTAGCTTATTGTGCAGCAATAGCTAATTGATGTAGAAGTTTGTTAATCACCATTGAATCATCAAAGTAACTTGTCTAAAGTAATAAAGCTAGTGAGTGGCAGAGCTGGGACTCACATTCAGATGTTTTCACCTCAATGACAGGTTTTGTTTTGTTTTTTTGACCTCTGCACTAGGACACTAGACTATAATATGAAATACAATTTGTACTTGAAATTCATCTTAGGTGCTAAATAGAGGTTTCTCAAGCATTCCAGAGATGCAGAGAAACAGACATGTGGATTCCCTAGGAACTAACATTGTAAGCTCAATGAGGACAGAAACAGATCTTCCTTGTTCCTTGTTTTGTCCTCAGCAGCTAGCACAAAGCTTGCAGAGTAAGTATCCAATAAACTCTTGAATGAATGAATTATAAAATTCACTATGTCATTTCTACTTGTTTGGGTCTTTTAATGAAAGTGGGGAAGTCCATTAAAAAAAGGTATAACTTAAGACATAACAAGAATTACAAATATTATCAGATTATGAAATACTAAAAAAATTCTCAAGAATCTTCCAGAAAATTACATTGTTTGCAAAGTCAGGTCTCACTTTGGTGAAGTCCTTGGAAATGAAATTATTCTTTCCCAGTGGACTTCTCTATAAATACCAAGGTTACTGTCTGAATTACTGTGTGGTTACTGTCTAAGTTATGTTTCATGAAGATGTTGGTGGGTTTGTTATGTTGGACTTCTTTGGAGCAGATGGAAGTGTTGTTTCAAACAGTGTTTTCTTTTCCATTCTGTCACCAAATATTATCTGCCCTTATTTTTATACTGAGTCCTAATTGCTATTGTATCTTTGATTTCAATTATCACAGAAGACAAAAGAAAGTGCTAAACAAAAATTAAGTGAAATTGAGGATTTGTTAATTTTTTGTGTTTTCTATTTATGTGTCCCCTGCCACTACTCTTCCTGGGAAGTCCCAAGAATCAAACTCATTTGACTTCATCATGGGTTTTGATGCCACATAGCTGTTTGACCTTAAGCTAGTCAAGATAGCTGGGCCTCAACTTCCTAATTTCCTCATCTAGCTAATAAAAGTGTTGTACTGAATTATATTCAAAATTCTTTTTTTCCTCCTAAAAATCTGTGGTTCTATGTATGAGGGACCACCAGATAGGGAGAACTACTATGCTATCGATCAACTTTGCCTTGAGGCTGAATGATTATCATTGAATTACCCTTGAATAATTATTCTGTGATGGGCACTGTGGTATAAAGGACCATAAGAAATGCATGCAGGAGGGATTCACATGGACTTAGGGAAGCATCCAAGAAAGAACAAGGGGCCTGAACATTGCTGTTTTGCTCAAACAGAAAACAGCTGGATGGCATTTCTAGACTGTAATGTTCCATGGGTCCTAGAGATGATAGGCAGAGGGGAACCTTGTTAGGTAAGCTCTTTCAGGTTGCTGGAACAAAGGTAAACTTAGGTTATGTCAATAAATAGAGATTCACAGTAATGGCATGAGGGCAGAGGAAAAGAAAGAGAATTCTGTCAGCAGCAATACAGCCATTCCTCAGAGGGAACCAGGATGTCATGATATATTAGGAACTCTGCAATGGAGTTCTCCACTGAGTGTGCAAGACTAGACAGAGTGCAGGAAGAAAATATAGAGGATTTTTTTCCATTTGTTTTTATTATTTACACTTTTTACATTGAATGGCTTTCTGATAATATATATCATAAATTAAGATAGACATCTAAGTTAAAAATACATGAATATAAAATATTAGTCATGTGTGACAGAGAGAATGCTTTCCAAATATTGCTTTTTTACATTTATCAGCCCTGTGCAATTCAGTGGATTCATATGACTAGTCCTGGGGGATAGAACTTGAGAAAAAGTTATGTATATTTCCAGGTTAAGGTCATATAAAGCCCATGGATGATTGTCCAGCCTCTCTTGTCCCTGAACATGACCAGAGAGCTTGTATGTTTCACTTGGTGTGGCCACAAGGTAGTGAAGCCATTTGTCAGTCTGAGTTCCTGTGTCACTATACGGAGCAGAGTTCTCATTGGCACTGCATAAGAGTATGTAAGAAATAAACCTTTGTTAGGATAAGTTGCCGAGATAATGTTGTTGTTACTGAAGAAAAGCATAAACTCTCCTGACTAATAAAGGGTGCCTACTCAAAAAAAATATTTTTGATGGATTGAGCAACCAATTTTTTTTTCCTGACTAACTCTTGGGTTTCCCAAGAGATACAATCTGATGAATTTTCTGATGTACAGACAGCCACTCATCTTTAGTCCAATTTGCTGTGGCCAGGGTGTCAGGCTCATAAAATGAGAAAGGGATTCCTGTGATCACTTCTGCCATTAGGCAGAGAAGTTTTTGACAAGGCATCTGTGTTTTACTACAGGAGTTTTCAAGGCCTGCCTAAAATAAGAATGCATGTAACAATTGCACACAGAGACATCAAATCAAGGATTAAAAGCTAACAAATAATTGTGTGTTCAAGAACCATATTTATAACATCTCTGCATCCAAATTTCACATGATCTTGATCAATAGAAGGCAGTTAGTAAGTGATACATGGATGAAACAAAAGACTAGATGAAGAAATACCTGCTGAAATTGATGGCTTTTGCAAGAGAAAGGTGGCAGTTATTAAGTGCAAGGAAACTACCTTTGGTAGAAAGCCAATCCCCTGGGAACAGCATCTTCTTAATGGAGAATTCTGCAAACATTTTCAATTCACACATTCATACAACAAATACTTATTAAGTATGGCCCTTATGATCTCAGGCCACTTTCCCAAAATAACCGCCAAGAACATGTTTTCCACTTTTTCTTCTCCATCTAGAAAGATCTATTTTAAAGGACAGGATTATGAATTTGAGCACTGCTTTTCACACACAGTCACGAATCCAGGCATTTGGTCCAGGCAATGATGGGAAAAGAACGGGTAATGATTTTAACAGAGCCTGCTGCAAACGCCCACTCTTTCTTCCATAAGCAACTAATCTTAGGTCTCAGCAATGCAATATTCCAGTGAGTACAGGATGAAACTGACTGAAAGGTGAAATGCTGCCAACAGAAGAAGCCACAAAGAAGCACACTTTTCAAGGATTGTTCATTGGTGTCAACTCAGGTCAGAATAGTGTTGCAGTGGTTATGGATGGTGCTATCTGGCCACTTCAGCTAGGAAGGTGTGATGAAGCTGATGCTGTTAGCTCTTAATATAATTTGTGGGAAATTTATGTGTAAAGTAGAAGAGGAAATTGATGAGAATGCTTTTATATTTGACTTTAATAATAATGTGCAGTTAATTTTTAATAGGATTGTAAGGCTATAACTTCAATAAGTTGTCAATCAGGCATTGTCAAAATACTGACTATATGCTTGGAATCGGGTAAAAACTGGAGGGAAAAACACAAGTCCCTGCCTTTAAAAGCCTTATATTTTTACTGGGAAGGCAAAAATAGACAAAGAAAATGATCAATTGATAAGAAAAACCCAGAACAGAAAAATAATAGTATTGACAAGCAGAAGAGTTTAGTGGTCAGTCAGGCAAGCTGTGGAGCCAAAAACCTTGGATTAAAATCCCAGCTTCATCACTTCAAAGCTGAATAGCTCTAGATAGGTTACTTAACCATTATGCATCTTCCTCATTTAAAATATGAGGATAATAAGAGTATTTTAATGTGGTACATATGAAGTGCTTAGCACAGTGGCTAGAATGAGACCAGGAATGAATATTAGTTATTATTAGGGGCAACTGAGGTCTAGAAGGACTCTTAGTTTGGTTGATCACTTTCTCTCATCAAATATTCTTGCTGTCTCATTATCTTCCTGTTAGGATTTACAATTACCAGAGGAATATTGATTTCTTGAGCATGATCTGTTTTGGAACATCAAGACTACTGGTCTGAAATCTAGGAGCTGCACTTCGCCACTGCCAGTGTAGTCTCCCTGTGACCTCTCCAGTGTAGTCTCCCCGTGGAGGACTGTCCAAAGGTTAGTTCTGGCCAAGTGCGGTGGCTAACGTCTGTAATTCACACACTTTGGGAGTCTAAGGCAGGCAGATCACTTGAGGTCAGGAGTTTGAGACCAGCTCGGCCAACATGGTGAAACCCCATTTCTACAAAAAATATAAAAATTAGCCAGACGTGGTGGTGGGTGTCTGTAATCCCAGCTACTTGGGAGGCTGAGGCAGGAGAATCACTTGAACCCAGGAGGCAGAGGTTGCAGTGAGCTGAGACTGCACTGCTGCACTCCAGCCTGGTTGACAGAGTGAAACCCCATCTCAAAAAGAAAAAAAGTTTAGTTTTCTCCTGGGATCACCAAACTTTTCCTAAATAAATAAATAAATAAATAAAAGAAAGTCAAAGCCTTTATTACATCACGCCTTCTTCTGTCTCCTTCGAGCAAAATGACCTCTCTTCTCCTCTGCACATATCTGAATCCTATAGACCCAGGATCTGGGGCCCCATACAGGATCTATACATAGTGGAAAGAAGGAATGGATTTATTGAGTTGTGAGTTATCTCCAGTCAAACTTCATATGTCCTGACCTTTCTGAGAGTTTTAAATATAAGTGGGAATCTGGCACATTCAGTAGACATGGCCCCTTTTTTTCCAGAAGATTCTCGGATGACATCCAGTTAGCAATGGTTAAGCTTCCTCATTGGCCTGATCAGTCTCAAAAAAGAAATGCTCATCAAAGCTGCCTGCACTCCTGACCCAGGCCTGACTATCAGCTATTCCTCCCTTTGTCTTGGAGCTTTTGATCCTTCACCCTGACTTATGTGACCAAATCTTGTCCACCTGGTGCAGTTTATTCACCTTGTCTGCCTTGGCCCTACAGACAGAAGTCACATTTGAAGATAGCAGCAGTGTGGTCCCTCTAGCCCTGGGCTCCCCAGTTTTGGACTCCCATAAAATAGATATTGTACATTTTTTATTTAAGTCAACTCTGGTATTTCTGTTATGGTAACTTAGCCTGAGTAATAATAAATATAATAAATACCTAAATTGTTCTGTGTTATCTGATCATGGCCTTAGATTTCTAACCTATTTAATGAAATGATTTAAACATTGAATCTTTCAAGGTGTCTGTCTCCACATTAAACACTGTAGGATTTATGCCCTGGAACCTGGCAGGTATGAGGAAATGTTGTGTGATAAGTTCTCTTCCCCTGAGATTTACCACTGAATCCAACAGAAAGAACATAAAGAGCATCCTGATAAAGAAAAATAGCATGATTGCTGTCTGGGCGTCTCACCTTACTGCTGTCCAGATTGCTAGTCTAGAATCCTAAATATGCCTGACTTGGAGAAGGATACCTCTTGTCCTTGGAGACTGAACTCTTGAATGCTGCTTTCCTGTTTTTAACCACACAGAGAACTCTGATTTGCATAGCGTGTAGACTCAGAGTCCTAGAGGTTTAGATAAAGAAGGTCTCTTGGAGACATCTGCCTCCTCCATGGCTCCAGACCCACAGCTTTACCTTAACCTCTAATATCAGTTGTGCAGACTTGTCCTGTTTCCGCCTTCCCTACCACCTTTCTGACCACCACCCCAATCGTCCTGGTCCCCACCACCAGCACCATCAATTGGCCCTTCATGCCAAGAGAATATCAGACCACAGAATTTTAAAGTACAAGTGATAGAAATTTAAGAAACTTTATTTTTAAACAATGGACTTTTTAACGTAAGAAAGTTTATATAAAATATCATACATATAAGATGTAACAGCAGAGCTCCTCTGGTTAAACAGGCAGTGGAGACCTAGAGACAAATGTTATTCTTTCTCCTTGTACCCATGATGGTTCCCGAAACACCTCCTAGCTATGCTATGCTTTTCTGAACTGAGATTCACAACCACTGGTCTATTCCAATCCTCTCCAATTTACACACGGGCAGATTAAGATGAAGAAAGGGTTAATGGCATGCCCAGGCCTCTTGATTCCAAGGCCAGGGTTCTTTCCACTAACTGCACTGCCAAACCCGTCTTCCTTATCAACTTTATCATACCCATGGTACACTGAGACTCAGCAAACTTGCTCAAGTAAGAGATATCTTGGGAAAACAATAAGTTCCTTTACATATGTATTTTTATCCATGCATTTTCTAAAGTCAGTAGAATCCAAGCCCCCAAATACAGCCACAACGTCATCAAAGTTCATTTTAATGAGCAGTGATATTGTTTTACCTGACACCCCTCTTCAATACATTAGGAAGAGGGTGTCTAAGTTAAGGCTGATGAGGAACAGACCACAGAGTCACCTACATCAACTTCCCATCATTCGAGTTGACGCTGTTAAGATTCTGGTTCCTTCTCGTTTGTTAAGAATGGCTCACCCATCATCTACCCCACTGGTCTGTGTCCACCACGACAAAATATCCTGTAGTGACTATAAAAGCATCCTAGAGTCCTACAGACTCACTTTGAGAAGTTCTGCTTTTATCTTCTAGAACAAAGGCAGCCAAATCTTTTCTCTAAAGATGGTAATTATTTTGGACTTTGCAAGTCATATACAGTCTCTGTTACATAGTACTTTTTTTCTCTCTTTTAGTCAGTTCTGTGGTACAGTTCTTTGGGTGGCCTTGGACAAACCCAGTTTTCCCCACCCACCCTTTCCTGCGTGTAGATTTTAGAATAACTGTGCTGGGATGTAGTATCTTAAGATAAGAACTGCCTGAAGCAGCCTGGGCCTTGCCTTGCTCCTGTCTTTCCTAAGGAATAAAACATTTTTTTTTTTTTTTTTTGAGACGGAGTCTTGCCCTGTCACCCAGGCTGGAGTGTACTGGCGCGATCTCAGCTCACTGCAACCTCCACCTCCTGAGTTCAAGCGATTCTCCTGCCTCAGCTTCCCAAGTGGCTAGGATTACAGGCGTCCGCCACCATGCCCGGCTAATTTTTCTATTTTTAGTAGAGACGGGGTTTCACCATGGTGGCCAGGCTGGTCTCGAACTCCTGACCTTGTGATCCACCTGCCTTGGCCTCTCAAAGGGCTGGGATTACAGGCGTGAGCCACCGCACCTGGCGGAATACATCTTGATTTAAGGAGGAACTGACTGGGATGGCCTATCATTTGTTCCTCCCTACCCTAGAAGCATGATATCCTTTCAAGCTTTGCCCAGTGATTCATATTGCCCCTGAAGTATATAACCCAGGACTGGCTCTCTGTCAGGGTCCTTCAGCTGTGGTGCAAGAGGGGCACATGTAATTGATCCTCCATCCACCCCAGCAGCTTTCTTGAATCTGGTGGAGAAAGGACCAGCTCACAATGGACCTGAGACTCCTTTTATCCCTTGATGCCTATTTGTATATGAACCCACTTCATATAACTTGCTGTGTGTGAATATGTTCTCTCTTGCCAAACTCAGGCTATTGGTCAAACTGTAGCCCAAGATGCACTGGACAGACACGTCTGGACTCCTATTCCTGGCGGTTGGCATAGTGATGATCTTAGCTCTTCTCCATGCAGTGGGATTCCTCCCTCAGGATTGGTAATTAGTGAAACTACTCTGGAAGCTTTGTAAAAATATAAAGAACATTTTTAGCTCAGGGTTGTACAAAACCTGCTACAGGCCAAATTTTCAAAATGGTAAAGTCCTACTTTTTTTTTTTTTTTAACAGTTCTTCTCTCAATTTATCGCTCTCTTCTCACATTTTACTATGAGCAGCAAGAAACCACAAAGCAGCTTGGAAATCCCCTTGCTAAAAACCAGGCTCATCACTTAGAGCTTCTGCTTTCCACATACGTACAGGAGATAATTTCACTAAGCGTTCTTTCACTACCTAATGACAAGGACCCTTCCTCTAGTTTCCAGATGCATGTTCACCACCTCCTCCTAAGACTTCACCAACAGCACCCTCAAAGTTCACATTTCTCCTGACAATCTGTTCAAGGCAATTAAAGCTTTCTCTGTTATACTCTTCAAAATTCCTCCAGTCTCTCCCCACTGTGTAATTCCAAAGCTCCTCCTACATTTTTAGGTTTTCATTACGGTAGCACCCCACTTCCAGTTACCAAAATCTGCATTAGTTGCCTATTTCTGTATAATAAATTGTCATAAATTTAGTGGTTAAAACAACATCCATTAATTATCTTGTTGTTTAGGTGAGTCAAGTGTCTGGGCAAGGCTTGCCTGGGACCTTTGCTCCAATTCTCACAAAGTATCGGCTAGGGCTACTGTCTCTTCTGATATTCTGGGTCTTCATCCCGCCTCACATGTTTGTTGGAAGAATTATTTTTCTTGAACCTGTAGAACTCATTGTGGTTGCTCCTTCAAGACCAGCAGGAGAACTTCCCTTTAGGTTTATCTGACTGCTTTTAACAATTCACCTGATTAGGTTGTGCTCAACTAAGAAAATACCCTTTTTGATTAACACAAAGTCAATTGATTAGAACCTTAATTATATCTGTGAGATCCATTAAGCTTTGTCATATAAGGTAAGCAAATTATGGCAGTTGTGTCACATCATGTTCACACCCACATTCAAAGATTAAGGATTATACAGATGAGTACACCAGGGGGTGGGAGCAGAAATCTCGGGAGACATCTAAGAATTCTGTCTACAATAGCCCAAAAAGATGTTTAAACAAGTTTAAAGGCCCAATACATTTCTCCATTTTATTCTCACATGAATACTTTTTAAAAATATTTTCCTTCATCATGCAAATTATATTGGGCTTAGTGTATGGACTAAATTAAACCTACTTCTCATTGTTGTAAATCATAGCTTTAATACAGAGTTCTAGTCTGGGACTCAGGAAATTTGCCTTTTAATCACATTTCTGTCCTAAGCTGACATGTTGGGTATTCTCAGGGAATGGAACCACATCTCACTGAGTTTCTATTTCTTTTTAATATATTGAATATCTTACTACCAGCTTTTTCTTTTAGCTCCTAGATTCTTTGGTTCAAATATTTCTCTATCTTGAGGTATAATTGTTTGACAGCATATTTCTTAATGAAAAGCAGACTTAGTGAGTGAGGGAGGGTAACAAGAGCCACAGGCCACCAAAGATGAGATAAAAGGGGAAAGGATGAGGGGGCTAGAGTTAATCCCACCCTTTATTGCCCAGAGGAGACAGGCTCTGCTTGGGAGTTTGGATTTGGAATCTCTTCCCAAAAGAGATTTTAAGTGAGCCTCTCAGGAAGCAAGAAGAATGTGTGTACTCCTAGTCCACGTACTTGCCCCTCTAATCCTGTGGCTGAAACAACCTTTTTCTTCACAGCATCTGAACTGAGAGTGTGAATGTTAACTCTGCCATTTTCATGATTAAGTGGTTTTATGGTATGAAAAGTTAATCCAAAAAACTAGGAGCTTAGAAGCTAGAGGTCTTCGTCAGTCAAATTTAAAACCAAATAAGATACCCTTAGCTTCTGTATGTACTAAATTCAATCTTCAATTTTTAAGGGGTAATAAAAATTTTAATCAGCCCACACATCTTTAGGGTTGGAACATTTCCCACAGATATGATAGCAAGTTCTGTGGCTAAAGTTTTCTATCAAAGCTGAGTCTGTCTGATAAATGACGAGTTTGCAGGCCTTTCTCCAAGTGAAGGCAAGTCTCAGTGGAGACAAAGGATGGGGGTTGGTCCCAGAATGGGTGGTTGTGTGACACAGTGTTAATTGAATACAGCTGCTCCAGGTCTGAGATAAAATTGATGGGCCCCTTTGTAGTCTGAAGATGCAGATTCTGAATGAACAACATTAGCTCAGAGTCTATTGAGCTCCTGAAGCTCTGTCCAGACTGATTCCTGTTCATAGACAAAGGGCAAAGAAAGATCCTTAGAGTAGAACAAATAATCTTATGTTGTTACTGACAGACTTCTCCACAGAGAGCTATTTAGGCAATAAAGGGGAGATATATAGAGACTTTGTGTCTAGAGTTACATTGTACTCTATAGAATAGTGGTCAAATACACATGCATGCACATACACACACACAGATACACACATACACATACACATACACACACACACACGTTTAATAGACAAGAACTAATCTGCAGGAAAACTACTGTAATCTCCACTTTACAGATGAGATTAGTGAGGCAGAGAGAAGTGAAGCAACTTTTCAATGATCACTAAATTGTGTGTGTATGTCTGAAAGTGAGGAGAATGGGACAGATAAGAAGCAAAGTGTCTAGATATCAAAGAAATGTTCTCTCCATCGATTTCCTTGAGGACACGCACATTTATGGCTTACAACGGTACACCTGGAAAAGATGGCCTAGGTCATCTGTCTTATCAAGATAAAATTTAAGGGAAGATTCAAGACTTGAATTACACTTTCCCATGTCAAGATCACTGTGATATATGCAAGTTAAATTATAGGCAATCCATCAAATAAATGCTAAAAACTTCTGAATTTCTGCAGGTTCCCCCAAAGAACTAGATTTAAGTTTAACAATATCGTCTCTTCCTTTTCTGTGATGACCAGATCCCCGGTGTACTCTGACAAAGAGCAGTATACCCATATTGCAAGGTTTCTCAACGGCAGCATAGTGGACATTTTGGGCCAGGTGATTCTTTGTTGTATGGAGCTATCCTGTGCAATGAATGATATTTAGCAGTATCTCTGGCCTCTTTTAACTAGATGCAAGTAGTAGCTCTTGTCTTGCAGTTTTCTAGTTGTGACAGTTGAAAATGTTCCTGGGGTTGGAGATGGAGTTGGGAGGAGTTACCCGCAGTTAAGAACCACTGCTTCATTATAATGCAATTTTAAAAGCTGAGCTATTGCTCCCATTACTTCAGTCACTTTTTTTTCAATCAAATATATATTGAGCATTTAAAAGGTAAAAGACATTGTGTACATTTATATTTTCTGCACTTGGTCCTTGAAGAATATTTTACATAAGTAAATCAACTATCTGCAAGTATGAATTGAGTTTTACAAGTTTGTAATCTGCATATTAAATCTTGAATATTTTATTCAACATTATTAGGATTTTTTTCATGTTTTCATATGGTCTATGTAATTCTTATTTTAAGAATCACATGATACTCCATTAAAAAATGATTACTGCTTGGTCTATTTTTAAATATTAATAATATGGTTTGGATCTGTGTCCCTGCCCGAAATTTCATGTTAAATTGTCATCCCCAGTATTCTGGTGGGTCCTAGTGAGGGATGATTGGATCATGGGGATGGATTTCTCACGAATGGTTTAGGATCATCCCCTTGGTGCTGTACTCACAATAGTGAGTGACTTCTCACAAGATCTGGCTATTTAAACGTGTGGCACCTTGTTCTGTCTCTCTTGCTTCTGCTCTAGCCATGTGACAGGCTTGCTTCCCCTTCACCTTCTGCCATGATTGCTAGTTTCCTGAGGCCTCCCCAGAAGCCAGGAAGATGCCAGCATCAAGCTCCCTGTACAGCCTGCAGAACCATAACCCAGTCAAACTCCTTTATATATATATATATATATATATATATAAATTACCAAGTCTCAGGTATTTCTTTATAGCAGTGCAAGAATGACCTGATACAATTAATCATGGCTCCAATTTTTATTTTAAGTAATGTCTCATTGATCATGTTCATATCTCTTTGAAGATAGTTCTAGAGGTAATTAGTAGGCTAAAGTGTGAAAATATTTTATATGATTCAGATTACCACAAACTTTCTAAGAAATATAAAAGTTCTCAGGTTGGAAGGCCAAGGTAGGAGGGTCACTTGAGCCCAGAAATTCAAGACTAGCCTGGGCAACAGGGTGAGACACTGTCTCTACAAAAAAATTTTAAAATTTAGCTGGGCATGGTGGTACATACCTGTGGTTCCAGCTACTAGAAAGGCTGAGGTGGGAGGATTTCTTGAGCCCAGGAGTTCAACTATGCAGTGAGCTATCTTTGTGCCACTGCATTCTAGGCTGGGTGACAAAGTGAGACCCTGTGTCAAAAAAAAAAAAAAATGTTCTCAGGGTCCAAGATCAGCATGGTATGAAAACACTGGTTTCCTATACCTTCTGAAAGAACACTAATAACAATATGTTGAGTGCTTACTATGTACGTTGCCCTGTTTAAGGACGTTTTATGTGTTGGTTATTGATTCTCATCATAACCTAATATTATGAGTACTGTTTTGTTGCTGTTGTTGTTGTTTGGTTTGGTTTGGTTTTTTGAGACAGTCTTGCTCTGTTGCCCACGCTGAAGTACAGTGGCATGATCTTGGCTCACTGCAACCTTCACCTCCCAGGTTCAAGCGATTCTCCTGCCTCAGCCTCCCAGGTAGCTGGGATGAATACAGGTGCTCGCCACCATACCTGGCTAATTTTTGTATTTTTAGTAGACAGGGGGATTCACCACGTTGGCCAGGCTGATCTTGAACTCCTGATCTCAAGTGATCTGCCTGCCTCGGCCTCCCAAAGTGCTGGAATTGTAGGCATAAGCCACTGCTCCTGGCCAGATGATGGGTACTGATATTAGCCCCCATTTTACAGAAAAGAAAATCTAGCAATAAACAAGGTTAACTACCCTGCTCAAGGACACAAAGCTGACTAGTGGCAGAGCTAGGATTTCAACTCAGTCTAGGTTCAAAAGCTTTGGTCTTAACTATTTTGCTGTACAGAAATTCCCATGGTATACTCTTATTTTACGCATAGGAAAACTATGTAGACATGATGACAGAACCCTCAAAAGCTGATGCTTCAGTCTATAAAACGAACATGCCATGAATGAAATAAAGTTTATATAGATGCCAAAATGAAAGCAATGTCAATAGAAATTAAACTGTGATTTGAAATATTTTGTGGGACATGAAGCCCACATTCCTAACCCTAAATTCAATTTGATTATACAGAATAGAAAAAGTCTTCCTATAGTCCCTTTTGGGTTGTTCCACTGGAATATATATACACATTAAAACTAGAAAACATAACCATTTCCATAATACTTTATATCAGAAAAAAATATTAACAGTCTAAAATCTTAAAGCTAGTATCAAGCCATATATCCTATCCTTGCCCAAGTTAACCCATGCAAAATTAGAACCTGAGTTTATTCACATATTAAGTCATAGTCCTTATCATGTGCCGGGTACTGGAAATATATTAATAAATATTGTTTCATTTCTGCTCTCATTAACTTTACAATTTAATGGATATTGATATGTAAAAAATAAGCACATAATGCTGTGAAATGTATTAAAATAGAGTAAGATAATGCACAAACTTCCAAAGTAGTAGAGAAGATGGGATAATAAACTGGAAGATAGGGCTAATCAATATTACAAAGCATGTGTATTATGGTTTGCATATGTCCCTCAAAGGTCATGTGTTAGAAAAGTAATCCCCAATACAACAGTATTAAGAAGTGGAATCTTTAAAATGTGATTAGGTCATGAGAGTTCTGCCCTCATGAATGGCTTAATGCTGTTATCTTGGAAGTGCATTAGTTGTTGCAGGAGTGGGTTCCTGATTAAAGGATGAGTTTGACTCCTTCCCTCTCTTGTGTATGTATTATTTTACCCTCCTACCTTTTCCCATGGGATGATACAGCAAGAAGGCCTTTGCCAGATGCTGGCCCTCAGCCTTGGACTTCCTGGCCTCCAGAATTGTAAGTCCTGTTCTTTATAAATTTCCCAGTCTCAGGTACTCCATTATAGTACACAAAATGAACTAAGATATGCACCTGGGCAGAAGTTACCTAGGACACTAAGGAATTAAATGGAGGGCATACCCCAGAGATGGAAGACAATGTATAAACACATGGAAGAATAAGACAGAATGGTGTGTTTAGAGAATTATAAGTAGGTCACTTTTCCAACAAAATAAGTTGTAAAAAAAATTAGAATGGATAATAATACAGATTAAAACATGAACTTGTTGAGTGAATGGCACCCCCAAAACAGTCTGTGAAATTCCAAAAATCAGACAGTAATCTATTTCATTTATTTATTTGCAAATATTCAAGGATTTTCTGTGATGAAAGGCATGGGACTTCAGTGAAGAAGGCACAATGCAGAGCAAGACAAGCAACATCCTTTTCCGCATCCTTTTCCGCATTGATTTAGTTCCCAGGAGGTAGAAACAGACAAGACAAAGAACAGGTAAACAAATAAACAAAAGTAAACAAGATAATTTCATATAGTCAATATATAATGATGAAAATAAAATGATGATGTATGAGAAAAACTAAGAACTCTTTCCATTTATGCCTAGTGTTCCATTATTGGAATGCTATGCATATGGGAGTTATTTATATCTTACTGCTCAAGGTCATCGCCAAGGTCTGATTTTTCATACATGTCTGTTATTCAAAAAATTGCAACCTCTGGCATAAATGGGTAAAATTGGATTCTGTGAGGCCTTCTGAAGTGGCAGTACTTGAACTAGGAGCTGAGCGATTTGAAAGAACCAGGCACATGAAACCTCAGGAACACATAATCCCAGGTACGGAAAACAAGAAGTGCAAAGCCATAAGGTAAGTCTGAACTTGCCATGTTCTAGAACAAAAAGAAGCAGAACAGGCAAGATAGATAGTAAATAAGTTCAGGAAGGCAGTTAGAGCATTTTAGGCTGTGGTATAGAGTTCGAGTTTTTTTCCCCCAAGTGTCACTAAAAGTCACTGAAAAGTTTTACACAAAAGATTACACCATATTGAATAGATTCAATGGGGTAATAATACCAAGAACAGGGAGACCAGTCAGGAGGTTACTTCCAGTAACCTATAAGACAGATGATAGTGGCCTGGAGTAATAGAGGTAAGTGGATGAATTTAAAACAAGTTAATAAATGATGGCACCATTTTATGGGGTTGATCAATACTACTGATTTTGGGCCAGTGATTATTTGCAAGATTTTTCTACTCAATTAGTAATAGGTAGGTACTTCCGAGAAGGCCAGTTTACTCACTGCTGTACTTTTCCCTCTCTCCAACACTGAAATATTACATAATTAATGCTTTCTGAGAGAATCATCTTTTCTATAACTTGTTTATGCCTAAGGAAGAGAAACAATAACATACACAGAGGCTTTGGTTTTTACATTTCTCTATGGCATGGCTTGATTGTGTGGCACAGGGCATTGCTCACCTCAGGGTCTAGTGGAGAGCTTGGCACACTAATTAGGGGCATTTTACACTGACTCAGCCTCTTCCTGGATATCTGCAGGCTTCTGCCTTTCGAATACCTGCCGACTTTTGTTTAGAAAGGCACAGTGATTAGCCCCCAGTGTCTTTTTCAAGCAGAGCTTTACTTAATGCTCACTCACAATCTTTGTCATACAGTGCCAGACAGATCTCTCTCCTCTTGACCCAGAGGAGATAGTAAGTTAAGACACAGCAGTACTTTGAGCCCTTCTTGTGGCCTATATCTCTACCCAGGCCTCCAAGATTCTCCCTAATTGTTCAAGATTCCTAAGCAACCAAATGCCACATCATGTCTCTACAAACCTTTCTATAGTTCCCAAGTAACTCATAATTTCTCAGTGAAATCGAAGATGTTGATTATTCTATTTGTAACATCTTTTTTTGCTATAAGATAAAATATATACACACAAAAATTATAAAATGTATAACTTAATGAGGTATTATTAGATAAACACTCACTGCAACCCAGTTCAAGAAAGAGAACTTTGCTGGCCAATCCAGACACCTCTTCATCCCAATCATGGCCAATCTCTTTCCTCAAAAGTGAACACTAATTCGATCTTTATATTATACTAATCACTTCTTTGTATTTTATCACCCAAGTGGACATCTTTATACTCTACAGTTTAATCTTCCAGTTTAAAAATATATTATAGCTTTGTTATTTAATCTGTAGGTTTCCCCTCCTATAAAACTCCTAAGATTTTATTTCCTTATATCTGTTGAACAAACTGGATCACTTGGCTTATAGATTTTTCCACAGTCTAGACTTTGCTGATTGAATGCTCATGGTACAGCTCAACGTCTTCTTCTGCCCTCTGTATTTTTTGCAACCAGCAGCTGAATCCAGAAGCCTAATCAGGCTCATGTTTAATCCCTTTGGCAACACTAGAAGTTGTGTGATGTTCTTTGTCATCTTTGTCATAAGGCACATGATGTCTGGCTGTTGCCCTTTTCGTGCCAGGAGATGTTGGTGCTCAGTCCCTGGGTCCATTAATTCACTGGAGGTTGAAAAAATGGTGACATTCTAATTCTTTATTTCTTTTTTATTTTTCTGAAAGTATGTATTATAGACTACATTTATAAAGGGACAATGTCTCTCTCTCTCATGCTTTTTGTACACTTGGTGGTACAGTTCATACAGAACAGATAGGATAAGTACATGATTCTTTCTTTCAACTTTTAGAAGAAGATGGCTTTCAGCATATAGGCTTACAGAGCTCCCTCCTCTCTAATTTTCACATAGTGTTCAAAGATACCGTGGCCTTCTTTCTGAAACTTCTCTGTTTTGTTCCCTGCAATTTACTTAGAATTATTTTACCTTATCCTCTTATTTCTAATCTGCTCAATGCCAAATCTCCTCTTGGCAGTTTCTTCTCAGTGTGGACTTCTGTTTGGAAAAGGATGCATTGGCAGCTTAGTTTTAAATTTTCATGGTAGCCAATCTAGAACAGCTCCTTCAAGCATTACTGTAGATTCTCTTTCTAGAACGGACAAAATTATTCCTAGTTTCAGCTGCTATTCTAAAAGTAGTCCACAGCATTTTTAAGCAAATAAATATTAACTGTTTTTAAGTTGTAGTCTCAGGTACTTCAGACATCTCTTGCTTCTTTCTGCTTCTGCCAGCACAGATGCTAATGTTGTTCAGCTGTGTCGCTGTTGGGAGGCTGCCCTCACACACTTGTATTTGGAACTCATGGGGATACCTGTCGCTTGGTTTTGTTGTAAGTGTTGTTCATGAGTTTTGGTTTCTCTATCCAAATTTTCTGTTAGTTTTTATTCAGATAAATTTAAAAAAATATGTTGTTGCTACAGCATCTTTCCAGAACTCCCTCAAATTAATCTAAATTTTGCTTCATATTCAGGCATCATTGCTGATGTTATGAAAATATTGGATCAGTGAATACCAAATCTGTAACCCTGATACTCCCATGTCTCAAAAGGTATCATGAAATTATTTTTAAAAATTTCTTCAAATATTAATAGTTAACCAATTATAAGTAATTATATAAGCAATGAGTAGTTATAATTGGTATACATCATAGTTATCCAATTATAAGTAATAAATGCCCATTTATGCATGATGTAGAATCACTGAATATCAAAGATAAATAAAAATTAAGTAACTTATTTATTAATTCACTTGCCAATTAATTCTTTAATAAAATGTACCAGACTGTCTATTAACTACAGATACTGTGTTACAAATTACAGTAACACGTAAAGAAGGCATGAGCCCAACTTTTTGCTATGATATAATTAAGCCATTCAGCACATCTTGCTGATGTGTACTATATGTCATGTTTTGCACTAAGTGTTGTTCTAGATTTATACTGGATGTAAACAGTCTATAGACACCTTCTTCCTATTAAGATCTGTGACCCTGGCGACATCAAGAGACTTCTATGAACTCTGTCTTCAAAGTGTGCATAGTAATACTGTTTTTCTACAGGTTGTTTATAAAAATTCAATTATATAGCAGTTCACAAAGCTTCTTGTAATTTCTTAAGTGCTTTCTACTTGAAAAATTCATGAATTTGTTCATGTAATAAATATTGAGTACCCACTGCTATGGTTTGAATGTTTGTCTTCTCCAAAAGTCATGTTAAAATTTAATTGCCATTGTAATAGTATTAAGAGGTGGGACACTTAAAGGCAATTGAGCCGTGAGGCTACACTCTCATGAAGGGAATTTGTGCAGTTATCAAAGGGAAATTTGGCCCCCTTTCTTCCTCTCTTGACCTTCCTCTTTTCACCATGGGATGAAATAGCAAGAAGGACTTCACCAGATTCAGGCCCCTTGATCGTGGACTTTCCAGCATTCAGAACTGTACAAGCCCCTTGATCTTGGACTGATATGGTTTGGCTCTAAATATCATATAGAATTATGATCTTCAGTGTTGAAGGCGGGTCTTGAAGGGAGGTGATTGGATCATGGGGGCGGATTTCCCCCTTGCTGTTCTTGTGATAGTGAGTGAGTTCTCATGAAATCTGGTTGTTTAAAAGTGTTTAGCACTTCCCCTTTAGCTCTCTCTCCTGCCATTATGTGGAAACATGCTTGCTTCCCCTTCACTCTTCTGCCATAGTTGAAAATTTCTTAAGGCCTCTGATATGGTTCGGCTGTGTCCCCACCCAAATCTCATCTTGAATTGTAGTTCCCATAATCCCCACATGTCATGGGAGAGACCTGGTGGGAGGTAATTGAATCATGGGGGCTGTTTCCCTATGTTATTCTTGTGATAGTAAGTTCTCACGAGATCTTATGGTTTCATAAGGGGCTTTCCTCTTTCCTCAGTTCTCATTCTTCTCCTTCCTGCTGCCACATGACAAAGGATGTGTTTGACTCCCCTTTCATCATGATTGCAAGTTTCCTGAGGCTTCCCAAGCCATGCTGAACTGTGAGTCAATTAAACCTCTTTTCTTTATAAATGACCTAGTTTCAGGTAGTTCTTTACAGCAATGCGAGAACAGACTAATACATGGACTTCTCAGCATCCCAAATTTTATTATAAATTGCCCAGTCTCAGATATTCTGTTACATCAGGACAAACAGACTAAGACACTACTGTGTGTCAGGCCCAATTTTAGTTTTGCAGGATAGAGCCAGTGACAAAGACAAGTTTCTACCTTCTATGAAGATACCTTCCTGTGGGAGAAGGGTGATTTTAAACAAACACATGATGAAAACGTCTCAGGTTACGGATGATAAGTACAATGAGGCATTTGAAACAGGAATATGTGGCTGAGAGAAACCAAGGTACTTTTTAGACTGAATGGTCATAGACGACCATGACAAGGACTTTTTTTCCCCTGAGACCTCAATAATAAAAAGGAACCATCCAGGCAACAATGAGGCTGTTGAGTGTTGCAGCCAGAGAAACAACTGGTTAATGAGTTCTATATGACCAAAGAGCAGAAAGCAGTTGAGTGTGGCAGGAGTTGCATGAGAGAGTGAGGAACTGGTAAGAGATGATGTTGTAGAGGAAGCTGGAAACTGGACTGTGAAGGGCTTTATACTCCGGAAGTTTGGATTTTTTTAAAGATAAAGTTATAAACTATGGAACAGCTAAGCCCTTAGGAAATTATTTTAATAGTCCAGGTAAGAAATGGTAAAAGAACATAAGAGAAAAGATATCACCTAGGTAATAGTTAGTTCAGCTAAGAAATGGGAGAAGGGAATGGAGAAATGGCTGCGTCTTAGATGAGGATGATAGGAGTGAAAATGCAGAGAAGAGGTTTTATTAGCAAAATTAATGTTCTGAAGTGAGATCCAAGAGGACTTGCCAATGCATTGCTTATGAGGAATTATGTAAAGTGAGTCATCAAGAATAACTCCAAGGTTTTGGCTTAGGAAATTGGAAAGATGGTGAAACCATTTACTGGGATGTGACAAAACAGAGTGGGTGGACATATTGTTCTGGAATGGGTAGAAATAGTATTTGGTAAAGAATCAAGATTTTTCTTTCAAATATGTTAATTTTAGATACATATTTGACATTTAAATGAATACATCAAGGAAGCCTTATATATAGGAGTCTGAGTCTGTGCTTTCTGGCAGAGGCCAAAGCTGGAAATATCAGTATTAGGTCAGTGGCATATAGATATTATTTAATGCTAGGTGAACTGTGGAGGTCACCTAAGGAAAGATAATTAAAGAAGAGACTTCTGGATTGCAATTGAGAAAGAGATTTAAAGAAAAAGAAAAGGGGAAAAAACAGAGAATAGTGCTGATAAGGAGATAGGAATAGAATCAGAGGAGTAAGTATCGTGTCTCAAAAGCTAGCAAAATGATGGATTTTTTAAAAAGTAGAATGATCAATGTATGATCTTGCTGAGAGTTTGAGTAAGAGTAAGGAAACGATCATAGGATTTGGCAATGTCAAAGTCACTAACTTTGGTGACCATCGCAAGAAAGTTCCTTGGAGTGATGGGGTCCAAGTCCTATTTGGAGTAATTGTTATGATATAATTAGAGATGCCATGACTAAAGATAAAAAATAGCAAGAGAATAATTGAATGCTAAACTCTGTAATAGTTTAGAAGCAGATCTGTACAGACCAAATTTTCAAGGCAGATGATATTTGAACAGAGTCTTGAGTGGTGGATATATTTAGAAAGCCAGAGACAGAGGGAAGCATTGCAATCAGGAAAACTAGGGACAGTGCAGAGTTTGAAATTGCTATGTGTCCTCAGACCTTTCCCAGGTGTAGGGCAGCAATTATATTTTTAAGAGGAAAGGTAAACTTCGCTTGAGGGTAATATTACTTTCTAGGCAGCCACAGAGGACAGAATACATCAACAATCTGGATCCCCCTAAACTGCATATGAGAGCCACAAGCCGATGCAGCTATTGCACACTTGAAATGTAATTTTTAATAATATTTAATTTTAATTAACTTAAATGAAAATTTAAACAGCCATAGGTGGCTAGTGGCTGCCAAATAGGACAACACAGATATATTTCTATTATTACAGAGAATTTTATCGGACATTGCTTCCCTCGAGGAAAGATTCCTCATCATTGGCTTTAACTGCTAAGGGAAACATAGAGGCTCATTGGTTTAATTAAGGATTGAGAGAAAAAGGAATCTGATGACTTCTCAGTCCTCTCTGCCTCCCCACAGAGCTGAGAAACACACTGACCACAAAGCCCTGGATGATTTCCAAAGCTGTATGAGATGAAGAAAAGAAATGCCATGGAGAAATAAGCCAGCAGTCAAAAGATGCTGCTGTCCACAACTTAAATGAGAATTACATCAAGAAACCCAACTTAAGCCAGCTAGGTGTGCCAAGGGACTGAGACAACTGCCACCAGGCTACACTAATCCCAAGTCCTGAGAAGAGTCTCAAGAGGGAAGAGAGAACAGATTCCTTTGAGCACATTAGATTGAAACATTCTAAATATATAATCAGGTGGTAAGATTGCTTCAGAAATATGCTGACAATGCATGAAAAATTAACATCCAAACTTATTTTGCATTAGTCAGGCCCATTAGTTGTGCCACAAAAGGAAAAAACAAGTTCATATGTTCCTATTAGTAAGGGAAACTGAATGCTTAAACTTCTATCTTACAAATTAAATTTTTTTCTGTTTATTCTTGTGTTGACTCTTAGAGATTCAAACTTAAATGACTGTACTCTGCAGCCTCCTATTGTTTGTTTCCTCGCTCTTCTATCTGATACCTATTCCCACGTTCATTTTCTCAAAATACAATTTTGATAATAACATTTTCTCTGTCTTCATTATCTTAGCATTTCAGATCTTCTACTCTGTTCTCTGACTCTCACCACGTTTGCTTCTATTCACAAGTATGCCTCAGCCATGGAAATGGGCCACTCCTAGTTCAAGCTTCTTGCAGAATATGTAAGTAAACTGAGGTCTAGAGAGGAGCAGGAATGTCTAAGAATGCACATTTTGTCAAAGTCTTATTCCTTAATATGATCAGTTTATTCAGGTTGTGATGTGTCTATCAAATGATTTGTATATAACTAATTTCAAACAAGTTGGAGTTAACTAACAAGAGAGTGAGATAGATGGCAATCTCATCAATTCTCTTCTTCTCTTCCTCCCATATGCTTTAATACATGTCTAAGGAGAATATTCTAAGGATAATAAGGAGAAAGCAGTCAACCACTGTTCACATTTCCTGATTGATTCAACAACCCTCATAATATTCAGTTTTGATGATATTAAGGTTGACTCATGTGCATGGACCTTAGAGGCAGACTAGATTCTTGCTACACTCAACTTTGACATGACACATGGGAGAAAGTAGATTAAGAAGTTTTATAGGAATGTATTGTCTTTGTGGAAGGCTATTGGCAGAAATCCTAAGGATATTTAAACATTAATCCTTTATTAAATTTAAGATTATCTCTATTCATTCTACAAGTATTACTGAATTGCATACTCTAAACCAGGCAGTGTATTAGGTAATAGAAAAATAAACAAAGCCAGTCAGTGTTCTTGTCTTATTGGAACGTAGAGACCAAGGTAGGAGATACTGACATTAGATACTAAATCTTATGAATGAAGGATACACACTTTTATGGCATATTCTGTTCCAAATGTTTGCCTGATGGTTCTTTGTTCCAAGCTCACTATTCTATATTATGACCTAAGAGCCATCCTCCTAGATTTCCAAGACAACTTTTTCAGCAGTGTTCTCTTAGGTTTTGCCAGTAGGAAGTAATAAAGGGAGACTGGAGGCAGAGGAGAGCAAGACACTTCTTTCCTGTGTCTTGTTATTAACACCACCCAGGGGAAGAGGTTTGGTCCAGCCTCCAACTTATTTTAGCACTTTCAGAACCAGCCTCATTGTACCCCTTCAGAGAAGCTGCCAGCAGCCATATCCTTGATGTTAAAAACAGGGATGCTTGCACTGGAGTTCTTGAAAAAAAAAAATACCAAGTTCACTAGGCTTTAAATTGTTAGTGCAAGTCTTAGTCATAAAAAGCTTCTAAAATCCTTATAAAATAATTAATAAAGTATAATTTAATTCTATACATTGCACAATTACCAAAATAAAAAACCCTTGGATTTATAGATTCATTACATTTTACAAATGAAACCTAGAAGTTCTGTGAAAAGACTGGGTTCCTGAGACTTTGAATGGGGTATCTAGAAAAACCTGAATGAAGCTGAGAATACTGAATCCCCACATCTTTTTTTTTTTTTTTTTTTTTTGAGATGGAGTCTCACCCTGTCACTCAGGCTGGAGTGCAATGGCATGATCTCAGCTCACTGCGACCTTCGCCTCCCGGGATCAAGCAATTCTCCTGCCTCAGCCTCCTGAATAGCTGGGATTACAGGTGTGCGCCACCAAGCCCAGGTAATTTTTTATATCTTTAGTAGAGACGGGGTTTCACCATGTTGGCCAGGCTGGCCTCAAACTCCTGACCTTGTGATCCGCCCAACCTCAGCCTCCACTTTGTAATCTCAAAATGCTGGGATTACAGGTGTGAGCCACCACGCCCTGCCAAATCCCCACATCTTTCTTAAGCTCTCTTACCAGCAGATGCAGCCCGTTCTTCCATAACAGAATAGACCAGTCTTCTCT
This sequence comes from Homo sapiens, assembly GCF_000001405.40. NCBI lineage: Eukaryota > Metazoa > Chordata > Mammalia > Primates > Hominidae > Homo > Homo sapiens. The sequence continues at coordinate 16,976,194 of NC_000002.12, forward strand.
TGCTTGTAATAAGGTCACCTAAGCCAATGGCTTTGTGAGGAGGGTTTTACTTTTCTCAAGATCTACACCCATCCCTCCTGACATCTAAAGGTTGAAATAGAGTCGGATCTCAGCATACTCAAGGGGGATAAGGCACAGAGGCTGGCATAGAAGAAGGCTCATACTCCTAAAGACATGCAAGATTTTTATATTTGTATTGGCAGAAAACTGAGTGATATACATGGGAATTCTAAGGATTTTAAACTAAGAGGAATATATCATTGAATTGGGTTGAATTTATTGACATCGGTGCATGAACCTGAGATTCTGGGTGTGATATGTTGGCTTGTGTGCTAATAATAATATGTAGTCTCCCAGGAGCCTTTAAAGGGACACATCCCTGCTGACACCTTGATTTTAACCCAGTGAGACCCATTTTGGATTTTTGTTTTCCAGAACTGTAAGAGAAATTTCTGTTGTTGTTAGCCACTATATTTGGATTAGTTTGTTAAAGTGGCAATAGGAGACCAGTACACTCTTTTAGCCTAGACAGCCTCTCTCCCTCTTCCTACAACACAACCAAACTCAAACTGAAGTCACCAGATCACCTGCCCTTAGAGCTTGGGCCATGCAACATCCTCCAGAATGGAGTTAGGCAGTTCTGCAAGGCTTAGCTGTGGAATGAAGTGAGACCGCCCCATCTCATTAGCACAGGAGAAACTGGAAACTAGAAAAAAAAGAAAAGAAAAAAAAAACTTTGGGAACACAGGAATACACTTTTAGATCTAGTTTTTTTTAACTGAAAAAAATTTTTTAGAATGTATAATATGTTTATATCATTCAAAAATTTCAAAAAACACAAAAGGGAAAACAGCTTTACCCTTATCCTCATCCATCTACTTTTCTCTCTTGGATCACCTACTATTATCAAAGGAACAGATAATACTTGGAGAGAGGAGCTTCATATATTGGGTCGTGGGAAGTCTCTCTGATAAGGTAGGATCTGAGCAGAGATGTGAATTAAGGGAGTGATGGTTGCATGCAGGCATCTGGGGGAAGAGTGCCACCTTTTGCAGAAGCATCATTTAGTGACCCATGAGAATGATAAAGTTAAAAACAACAAACCAAGAAAAAGTTATAATTTTCTAAGGAGTCAAAACATTGTATTGTGGAAGAAGTATATTCTCTTCATGCTCAGAAGATGAAGCATTACTCATGCAGATTACACTATGGTATACTGGAAGAAAAATAAAAATCCAAATGATTATTGTTTTTTAATGGTGAAGCATGTTTTAGGATAAAACCTTGCTGTAACACTGCTGAAGAGATTCTAAAGTGGGTTGAAACAGCCCACTGACCCTTGACCTCCCACAGATCAGAGCTCACTTCCCATACTGGCTGCAAGGTTAGAACAGATGAGAATTTGATGACATATGAATATACAGTGGTAGAGTTTGTAAGATGCAAGAAGGGATTCAACACTTAACTCTTTTGGCTACAACTGGATCACTGCTAAACTATTAATCCCATTAGTCACTGGATTAATTGTTTTACATTCTCTGAAGACTCTTACTTTAACTTACAGTAACAAACAAGCCCACCAATAAAAGTGAAAAGATCTGGGCACACTGGCTCACGCCTATAATCCCAGCACTTTAGGAGGCTGAAGCGGGAGTGTCACTTGAGGACAGGAGTTCAAGACCAGCCTGGCCAACACAGTGAAACCCAGTCTTTACGAAAAATACAAAAATTAGTAGGCTGTGGTGGCGGGCACCTGTAATACCGGCTACTCAGGAGGCTGAGGCAGGAGAATCGCTTGAATCTGGGAGGCAGAGGTTGCAGTGAGCAGAGATTGCGCCACTGCACTCCAGCCTGAGTAATGAAGCGAGGCTCTGTCTCAAAAACAAAGGAGAAGGAGAAGAAGAAGAAGAAAATTTTACTTAATTTCTATCCAAGGCCAGTATGTTTTCAGTCTAGTAAAGATGATAAATTTATATTGGAAAATAAGGTTGCTTCTACTCTGGTATGAAGGAGCCACCTCTAGTCCATTCCACTGTGTGGATTGATAAGCAGAGATGACCCAACTGGAAGACCAAAAGAATGAATTCCACAGTCATTTCTTTCTCACAGAGGACAGCTTTAGGTTCCCTCTGCAGAAGAGAAAGAAGGGGCCTTGGCCAACAGGTTGTTAAGAAATTTTAGCACCACAAGCAGACTCAGAATCAAAGGAAACATTCCAAGAGTTGAAAAAGACAATTCATTCAACTAAATAAATGGAATGGTTCCAAGACTGGAAAAATACCAGTGGTGCGGAAACAAAAGCTATAAATACTGCTCCTGGAAAGAGAACACTCAAGACTGTCATAGACATGGCAGGAAAAATGTTGAAAAACCAGAAAATTGGAGATGCTGCAGCTGCTTTGCAAGGGACAGTCTTGGCCACTGGAAATAGGGGAGGTGAGAGCAAGAGATAAGGGGAAAGGGTCAGGAGTTAGAGCCATAGGAGAGGAGAAATGTTTTCCTCTCACAACCGAGGCTGGCATCAGGAAAGGTGGTCCTACAGTTGTCATGACATCATGAGTTGGAACACAGAAATGACAAGGAACTTGCAATCCTTTCCTTCAATGCACAAAATGCCCAGGATAGTTGGCCCACCAGAAAAGTCTTTCTGGAATCTCAAGAGTCTGTATAGTAAACAACACTGGTGCAGTTTCCCTTTCCTGTTGAGAAAAAGCCTAAAAGTGGTTGGACATGGTGGCTCACACCTGTAATCTCAACACTTTGGGAGGCAGAGATGAGCAAATTGTTTAAGCCTAGGAGTTCAAGACTACCCTGGGCAACATAATGAAACCTTATTTCTATAAAAAATCAAAAAATAAGCCAGCCAGGTGTGGTGGTGCATGCCTGTAGTCCCAGCTACTCCGGAGTCTGAGAGGTAGGAAGATTGCTTGAGGCCAAGAGGTCAAGGCTGCAGTGAGCCATGATCATGGTACTGTACTCTAGCCTGGACAATAGAGCAAGACCCTGTCTCACAAAAAAAAAAAAAAAAAGCCTGAAAGCACAAAACTGTGGCCCCAGTTCTTTGTATGCTTCTACATGGAGAAGCTGGAGGCCCAGTAACATTGTACCATTCAAATATTACCCCTTGGCCAGGTGCAGTGGCTCACACTTGTAATCCTCGCACTTTGAGAGGCCGAGACAGGTGGATCACCTGAAGTCAACAATTCAAGACCAGCTTGGCCAACATGGTGAAACCTTGTCTCTATTAAAAATACAAAAATTAGCCAGGAATGGTGGTGGGCACCTATAATCCCAGCTACTCGGGAGGCTGAGGCAGGAGAACCACTTGAACCCAGGAGGTGGAGGTTGCAGTGAGCCGAGATCTCACCATTGCACTCCTGCCTGGGCAACATGAGCAAAAACTCCATCTCAAAAACAACAACGATAACAAAAAAACAAATATTACCTCTTTCGACACAGTACATTAGGGCAGCCCAAACTACCACATTAAGGCTTAAGAGAATTCAGGTCTCATAAAGAAGATATTTATAAAAATCCATGGCAATTCTTACCGAAGCAATGTGAAATATGTGTGCATGAATGCAGAGCAAGGCATTTGTCAACAGACTTTAATAGAAAATAGTGAGGAGGGCGAGATGAAGGGACACCTCATCCAGACGCTGATGAGATTACAGTTTGTCATTCACACCAATTTCCTTTCACAAATTAGTTTCCAGAGTCTGATATTTTAAAATCAAACCAGGTCTCTAAAACCCATTTTATGTTGGTAGTCTTAACAGCTAACTTGAATCATTTTCCAATCTGGAAATGAAAATCTGAAAGGTTTATAAATGCTCTGCATGGCCTGCCTGGAAATGTCATTCTACATTTCTCCTCCCCTGACAAAGTACTTAAGAAGGCCCTCCATGTGAGCTGAGTAGCTACTTTTTCACCCCACATTTTCAGAATTTGTCTTGACACACAGGAAAGTTCATTCAGAAACACAAGGAACTCCGGGATTTTTAAAAAACTTCTTGGCTACGTTGGGCAGTAGAGAAGTCATTTCCAATTTGCCTGAAGAATAAACCAAATGAAGAAAACAAGAGAAGCTCTGAAATAGCCAAGTGGGGAAATGGAGACCTTGGGAAGTGGAAATGCAGGTAGCCTTGAGGAGGACAATTCCACAATTACACAGAGAGATGTATACATAGAGATGCCAAGAGCATGGGCTCTGAAACTGACCTTTATTAGCAAGGGGCAAATTACTTAATCCTTCTGGGTCTCCATTTTCTCATTGATACTTAGATAAATGTAGCTCAAAGAATTTTTATGGGGATAAAATGTATGTAAAATATTTACCATAGGACTTGGTGCCAGCATAATAAAGTATTTGATTTATTATCATTATTATTCCTGTTGATATTTTTAGATGAGGCTCCCCGCAAAAATGTGCTTAAGATAATTTGTAACCGTGACAAGGCCTAGTCTTCAGCAAACATGTTTATTCCATGGTTGCAATTCTGATTCTGGTCCTCTATGAGTACCCATCTTCTGTGCGGTATATCTAACAAGAAAAATTTCCATATACCCCCAAACTTGATCTAAACTTTGGCAAGAGGTTATACCAACTTATTCATACCAACCTAGCACTTTAACAAATAACAATTTAGATTGGACTATGTGCTTGTCACCATGCAGACATGCCAGGGCAACAAAAGTCAATAAATGTGGATCCATCATCCAAGATTTATAGTCTAGGCAGCATTACAAGGCAAGATATGCCCAGTACCAAAGGATCAAAAGAGACTTTTAGTGTAGCTGAAGTCAGTCTCCAGATGGACTGCATTGACCCCAAAGGACTAATCGAATTGGAATGGGTAAAGTGTGGGACAAGTACAGCCCCACAGGGAACATGGGGGAAGGGGCAGTCATGTGAAAATTAGCATACATGATGGCAGGTTAGCTTTAGTTTTTAAAAGATTACATCTTTCAAACATACAATATTTAAAAAAATGAACATATATGAATCCACTAAATCAATATAAACCTGATTAATATGATTCATAATTTTTGGTTACAAGAATTAAAATAGTGGAAGGCCCCCTTTTTTCCACTCCCTGGTGCCATCTATTCTTCCCATTCCCATGAGGTAACCGTTATCCTAAATTGATCAATATTTTTTCTTTATTTATATTTTTACTCTTTATGAATGTATACATAAAAATATTATGTGTGTTTTTAAATGTATTTATACATTACCATAAAATACATATCTCTGATGGTTAATATTGAGAGTCAACTTGATAGGATTGAAGGACACAAAATATTGTCCCTAGGTATGTTTGTGAGGTTGTTGCCAAAGGATATTAACATTTGAGTCAGTGGACTGGGAGAGGCAGACCCAACCTCGATCTGGGTGGGCACCATCTGATAATCAGCTGCCAGTGCTGCTAGAATAAAGCAAAGAAAAGAATGAGGAAGGAGCTGACTTGCTGAGTCTTCTGACCTTCATCATTCTCCCATGCTGGATGCTTCTGCCCTCAAACATCAGACCCCAAGTTCTTCAGCTTTTGGACTCTTGGACTTACACCAGTGGTTTGCCAGGTGCTCTCAGGCCTTAGACCACAGACTGAAGGCTGCACTGTCGGCTTCCCTATTTTTAAGATTTTTGGACTTAAACTGGCTTTCCTGCTCCTCAGATTACAGATTGCCTATTGTGGGACTTTACCTTGTAATTGTGTGACTTAACACTCCTTAATAAACTCCCCTTCACATATGTGTCTATCCTATTATTTCTGTCCCTGTAGAGAACTCCACTAATACAGTATCACTCTTCAACTTGCTTAATTATATATTTTTAAAATGTTTATTGACACATGTAAATTTGTTTTCATATTACCTGCTGAATATTAATAATAGCCTTATTGAGATATAATTTGAATACTGTAACATTTACCAGTTTAAAGTAGACAATTCAGTGGTATTTTTCAGTCACAGAATTTGTGCCATCACCACAATATCTAATTTTATAACATTTTCATCACCTCAAAAAGAAACCATATGCCAATTAGCAGTCATTTACCATTTTCCCTTCTCTGTCCCAGGCACCTACTAATTTGCGTTGGTCTATGAATTTTCCTATTCTGAACGTTCTTGTAAATAGAGTCAAATAATCTGTGACCTTTGTGTCTCATTTCTTGCACTTACTATGATGCCTGCAGGGTTCATCAGTGTTGTAGCATACACCATGTAGCATACACTCCTTCCTTTTTGTGGCCATATAATATTTCTTTATGTGGATATACTACATTTTGTTTATTCATTTGTTCCTGGACATTTGGGTTGTTTCCACTTCTTGGCTACTGTGAATAATGCTACAATGAATATTCAGCAAAGGTTTTGTTTAAACTTATGTTTTGATCCATGAATATGGAATGTCTTTTCTATTGTTTAGGTTTTCCTTAATTCCCTTAAATAATGTTTTATAGTTTTCATTGTACAAGTATATATGTCTTGTCCTACTTTTGTTAAACTGATCACTAGCAATTTCATTCATTTCACTGCTATAGTAAATAGAAATTTTCCATTTTATTTTCAGGCTGCTTGTTGCTAATATATTAAAATATAATTGGTTCATTTATATTGATCTTGTATCTTGTCATCTTGCTTAACTCATTTAGTAAAATTGTGTCCATTGAGATGATCACATAGTTTTTGTCATTTATTCTACTAATACGGTATGCTACATTCATTGACTTTCAGATGTTAAACAAACTTGCATTCTTGAGAGAAATCTTAGTTATTTCTATTGATAAATTTATATCAATAGATATGAATTTCTATATTTTTATGTTACTATCTTTTTTATAAATTTCTATCCTTTTTATATGTTACTGATTCATTTAAATGTATCTAGAAATATAGGAATTTATATAAATTTATATTTAGATATATAGAAATATAGAATATAAATTTCTACTGATATGTTTTTACATATCAGTATCATAAAAAGGATTAAAGATATAACACTTTTTACATGTTACGGATACAATTTGTGTTGAAGAAATTGTGTCAATATTTATAAGAGATATTGGTGTGTAGTTTTTGTTTCTTGTGATGTCTTTGCCTGGTTTTGATATCAGGTTAATAATGATCTCATAAAATGAGTTGTGAAGTAATCTCTCATCTTCTGATTTTTGGAAGGGTTTGTGAAGAATTTATGCTAATTCTTTAAATATTTGATGGAATTTACCAGAGGTCATTTGGGCCAATGCTTTTGTATTTGGGAAGTTTTTTGATTCCCAATTTATTCTCCTTTCTTGTTGTGGGTCTATTAAGATTTTTTTTTTTTCTTGAGACTGTTTCAGTAGTTTGTGTCTTTCTAAGAATTTGTCCATTTCCTATAGGCTACTAATTTGTTGGCATACAATTGTTCATAGTATGCCATTCAAATCCTTCTTATTTCTATGATTTCAGTATTGATGTCACCTCTTTTATTCCTGATGTTAGACATTTGAGACTTCTCTTTTTCTTAGCCAGTGTCTATTTTCCATATTTCCACTCTAATCTTTATTATTTCCTTCCTTCTTAATTTGGCTTTCCTTTCCTTCTTTTGGTCTTTTTTTTTTTTTTTTTTTTTTTTTTGAGATGGAGTCTCGCCCTGGTTCCCAGGCTGGAGTGCAATGGCGCGATCTCGGCTCACTTCAACCTCCGCCTCCTGGGTTCAAGTGAATCTCCTACTTCAGCCTCCTGAGTAGCTGGGATTACAGGCATGCGCCACCATGCCCAGCTAATTTTTTGTATTTTTAGTAGAGACGGGGTTTCAACCATGTTGGCCAGGCTGGTCTCGAATGCCTGACCTCAGGTGATCCGTCCATCTCGGACTCCAAAAGTGCTGAGATTACAGGCGTAAGCCACCGCGCCCAGCCTTTTGATCTTTTTTTAAGGTGCAAGGATAGATTATTAATTCCAAACTTTTTTTCTTAATATAGGCATTTAGATCTACAAACTTTTCTCTAAGTACTGCTTTAGCAGCGTCCCATACATTTTGATTTGTTGAGCTTCCTTTCTGTTTCTTCTCAAAAGATTTTCTAATTTTTCTTGAGATTTATTTTTTGACTCATTCAGAAGTGTGTTGTACAACATATATGTATTCAAACATTTTCTAAATTTTCCTGTTATTTAATTTTAATTTTATTCCATTGTGTTTGGATAGCGCACCTTGTATGATATAAATCTTTTTAAATGCAATGAAGCTTGTTTTGTAACAAGCTCCAGGATGATACATCCTGGAGAACGTATCATCTGTGATTGAGAAAAATATGTACCATGCAGTTATTTGTCGTATACTATAGAAATCTGCTAGATCTGGTTAGTTTAAAACGTTACTCAACTCTTCTACTCCACTGTTGATCTGCCTAGTTGTTCTAGCCATTCTTGAAAGTGGGATATTGAGGTTTCTGACTATTATTGTCAAATTTTGTATCTCTCTTTTAATATCTGTCAGTTTTTGTTTCATGTATTTTGGTGACTTCTTATTGGAGATTTGTGTGTGTGTGTGTGTGTGTTTGTGTGCATGTGTGTTTAAAATTGTTATGTCTTCCTAATTTATTGACCTTTTATTATTATAAAATAAAAAGGTTTCTATTCATCTCTAGTAACATATTTTGATTTAAAATCTATTTTGTCTACATATATTATTGATAAGGTAAGATATATACTTGCCATTTTCCTATTCATTTTCTTCATATTTTATTTCTTTTTTGTTTTTCTGTTTCTCCATTACTACCTGTTTTTGTGTTAGATATTTTAGAGTATACCATTTTACTATATTTTTATAGTTATTTCTTAGTGCTTTTTTTGAAGATTAAAACTAATATCTTTAAAACAATTTGGTTAAAACAAACTATATTTCAAAATTATACAAAACTTTTACTTTGATATAGCTTCATTTCCTCTCCCCTTCTTTGTGCTATTGTTTCATACATATTATATCTTTATAATCACATCAATGTTATTTTATAATTATTGCTTTATTCAAATTTATTTTAAATCCAATAGCAAAAGAAATCTATTTGTACTTTTTTAAAAAAATACATTTACTTATGTAGCTACTTTACCATTTATCTTTATTTCTTGATGTGGATTGGAGTTTCTGTCTGATACCTTCCTTCAGTCTGAAAGACTCCTTATTTCTGTGGGACAGCTCCGCTTGCAATCAGTTCTCTTAGATTTTGTCAAACTGATACTGTCTTTAATCTTGAGAAATAGTTCTTCTTTATATAGAATTTTTGGTCAGTATACTTTTTCTTTCAGCACTTTGACTATGTAGTCACACTGCCTTCTGGACTTTATGGTTTCTGATGAGAAGTAAGCTATTAATCCCACTGAAGAGCACTTTCACATTATGAATCATTTTTGTCTTGCTGTTTTCCCGGTTTTCTCTTTATATTATGTGTTTGGCAGTTTGGCAATGATTTGTGATATGTCTACTGTGACTATTTTTGAATTTATCCTACTTGGAGTTTGTTGAGTCTCTTGCACATGCAGAGAATATAGATATAGATATAGATTTTATGTATATATATATGTATCATATGAATACACACACATATGCCAGAAACTTTCCACATTTCATAAATACATATGAAAGATTCTGGATATTATTTCTTCATTATTTCTCTTCATATTTCTTTCTTTTCTCCTTCTGGGACTCCCATTAAGTGTATGTTGGTATGCTTGATGGTGTTCCGTAAGTTTCCATTCACTCTTCATTTTTTATTTCTTTCTGTTCCTCAGAGTGGAAAATCTCAATTAAACTATCTCCAAGTTCTCTTTTTTATCCCCCTTCTGGTCAAATTTGCTGTTGAGCTCTCTAAATTTTTGTTTCAGTAATTATATTCTTCAAATAGATAACTTCTATTACATCTTATTTTATAATTTCTATCTCTTCCATGATATTCTTTATTTGGTAAGATATTGAACTCATACTTTTTTTTTAGTTCTCTGGCATGCTTTATTTTAGTTATTTGAATATATTTATATTACATGAATTAATCTTTTATCTACTAAGCCCAACATCTAGGTTACCTCAGGGACAGATTTGTGTGAATTTTTTTCTTGTACATGGGTCGCATATTCCATTTATTTATTTATATTCCATTTATTTATTTATTTAGAGACAAGAGTCTCATTCTGTTGCCCAGGCTGGAGTGCAGTGGCGTGATCTCGGCTCACTGCAACCTCCACCTCCAGGGTTCAAGTGATTCTTGTGCCTCAGCCTCCTGAGTAGCTGGAATTACAGGCGCTTGTCACCACGCCTGGCTAATTTTTGCATTTTTAGTAGAGACGGGGTTTCACCATGTTGGCCAGACTGGTCTCAAACTCCTGACCTCAAGTGATCTGCCCACCTCAGCCTCCCAAAGTTCTGGGATTGCAGGTGTGAGCCACCGTTACCAGCTCCTATTTTTGAATGTCTTATAATGTAAATTTTGTTAAAAATTTGGACATTTAAAAATATAATGTAGCCACTCTGTAAATCAGACATCTCCTTCCCTCTAGAATGTTTGTTTTTATTTATTTGTTTTTTGTTGTTGTTGTTGTTGTTTCTGTTGTTGCTGTGTTTAGTGTCTATATTGTTTGATGGATGTGACAACTGAAGTCTTCGCTCAGCTTAGTGGGCAGCTAATAATTGGGCAGAGATTTCCTTATATTTCTTTGGCCAATAAATCTAACAGTCTTTTCCTAAAGGCTCTGTGTGTGTTGGGACATATCTTCAAAGCTTCAGCAAGCAGTTTCTAACTCTGCTTTAGCCTTCATTTCCTGCTTCTGCAAATCTTCCAGGTCAACAAGAAGTGAGAGATAAAGGCCATTTTGTGTTGTTTCTAGGCAAGTACACAGTCCTTTACATATACATATATTTCTAGATTCCATGGAATCTGATATTCTCAGGAATGCCTAATATTCCCAGGAATAGCAGAGCTTTTCAACACCCCCTATGGACATCTCATTCCCTACTTTTTCCTTTAAGTTTTTTGGTTAGCCTCTTGTTGGTCCCCACTGTTTATTAACAGTTTATTAATAATACATGTTTATTAACATTTATTGTTTTCAATAAATACCCTAGGAATGCAACTATTTTCACAGAGCAAATAAAGACATGGCTTGAGAATGGAGATTTATTAGGGAGATATTTTTCTGGCCAAGAAGTGACCATCCTCTGGGGATCTGGCTTTCAGGTTCTGTTCTGTCCGTTTCAGTGGCTGACATGCTGCTGTTTTTCACAGCTATTGAAGTTTTGAGGTTGTTGGTTTTTAAGGCTACCACAGAGCTGAAGAAGTCGTGGCATGGTAGGAATAGGATAAGTTGAATCACCAGAAAGCTCACTATACTTATGGAGATCCAGTTGTTTTTCTTGGATAAACACTTTTTGGATTAATGGCAGCTTTTAGTTTGTTTACAGAATAATGACAAAGACGATATTGGCATTTTGGGGTCAATATTCTAGTTGCTTTTATACAGGAGCAGATTTTTACAGGTCTTCACTCTGGCATCCTAGAAGTGTTTCAATTATTGAATATTTTATTATTTTAATACTACAAAACATTTCCCATTTACTATTAATGGATAATTGTATGATTTCCACTTTTTCTGTCATTGCAAACATGCTGAACTATTAATTCTTGTCAGACCAAATTCTGTCATTCCTTGACCATATCTTGCACATCTCTGTTCTTGGCATACTAATGCCTCAGCCAGTAGTGCCTTCCTTCTTTTATACCCCTTGTGAGCCTCAATCTCTGCTCAAACATCCACCCTAATTATTGCCTCCTTTCTGAGATCTTCTGAGGTCCTTTCACCCACTTAGTTGTGTTCTCTCAGATACTTGACTTTGATTTCTAGTGTAGGGTTTATCCCACAGTATTGAAACAACTTGTACACTTGCTGACATTCCATCTAGATGCTCAGGTCCTAGGGAAAAGGTATTTTCTGGGTCATTCTTCATCCTGAGTTCTTCAGATTATTAACTTTCCTGTGCTATATCACCTTTTCATGGCTTCCCAGAATACCATCCTTGTCTTTTAATCATTTATACTATGTATACTATGTATACTATGGGCATTATATCTTAAAACCAGTCCATTGTGCAAGTATGTGTTTCAACTGGCCAATAAATCTCAGTACATCAGGACCATTCTTTTATAATTCCCCAACACTCCCTTAGTTTAATCATAGCCTACATCTATTTGGCTGTGACCCCCTCTCAGCTGCTGATCTCAGGATTTTACCCCCTCTCACACCTCCCTTTGAACATGGTACCTGAAAAGTTTGCTTTCCTGTACCATGATCTGATCTCTGTATTCAGTGCCCAATCCCAGTCTTACTCTCTCTGTCCTCCTCCCCTGGCTCTCTGCACTGGCTTGTTTCAGGAGGTTGGGACACCATACAGTGCACCATCAATTCAGTGTCATACTGGAGGAGGAAGATGTTCACAAATCATAGGCACAGAATTGCAGGCCCTGGGGAAGTATATCAGATCTAACCATATACTATATCAGATTTTTCCAAGCTCTGGGCCAGGGATGAAGAATCAAAGGACCCCCAGGTAACAGACCAGTGACAATTTTAGAAATGCAGAGTGGTGGAGGTGTCAGAGAGACAGCTGAGGTGCCCTAGAAAATTCATCTAAAGTAGGACATAGAAAAAGAAGAAAAGAATTCAGTCCTGAGATAAGGTGTGGCAGGAACAAGTACATCGGCAAGTTTCTGACGGGCTCTAACTCCAGCCTATGCACAATGTCATCTGCGTCCCTGAGACCAAAGGTAGGACTCCCCACCAGGCTTTAATGTCCTGTAGGAGAAAAAGTTCCAGTCACAAGGGGCTTGGTAGTTCTTTCATGGGTTTATTCAGGGGTTATTGCCATTTGGTAACAATGAAGAATCACTGAGATCTTCTGCTATCAGACATAAAACAATAGTTACAATTTCAAAACCCTTAGGAGTTTTAAGGACTACTCATACCCTGACTATTTGATTTCTCCCTAGTCCCAAAATAGCCAGCAGGTAACTATGTGTACTGCACCATACAGCATTCATGTATTCATTTATCTGTCTTTTATATAAAAATGCTGTTTGTCATGAAGGATGTAGGAGAGGAGGACATAGTCTGTTGATTTGCTGTAGAGAGAACTAAAAAAGACTTCAAGTATTCTCTGTCTTGTCATTTGGCAATTTTAAATGCTTCATTGCATCCATTCACAACAAAGAGGGGTGAATCTGTCTAACAAAAAGGTACCTGCCCCTTGATTGCTGAGCTTGTGATGGCCTGTTAGATTTCCTGATGTGGAATTGGTTTAAAATGCAGAAAATAGTGTCTATTTTCTGATTGAAGTTCACTGTGGTTTGGACTTAACGTTCTTTTTTTTTTCTTTTCTTCTTTTGGCACAATAATTACTACATCAGGCAAGTCAGTCAGTCCTCCTATGTCTGAGGGGAGGTCAGAGCACCTAGGCTAAACATACATATTTTAAAAGAAAGAACAGACAGACATGTATAATAAAGATGGTTCCTATAAGAATTTTATCTGGGAGTGAATGAGAAAATACAAGATGCAAGAAGTGATCAATGTTATTGTTCATCATAATTTGTGTTCCTTTTGTCTATTTTCCTCCTGAAATAGAAAGTGAGATGGTAAAATAGTTGCAGGTCTTATTTTAAACTAGCCTAAGAAGAAATGTGCCTTTTCCTGTGATTGACTCAATTTTAAAAAATAATAATTTGAAGAGGTAAAAAGTATTCTGTCTGAGGAAGCAGGTTTTAGATAATCTAAGGTCAAGTTTATGAGGCTCCGGATCAATTACTGAAAAATCAATTGTATTTTAATCATTGATCAGATTTGGTTATCTTGATAAGTAAAAGCACTAGAATTTTCTAAAATCTTGTACTTGATTGTAGGATTATTAGTAAACAGATCAATTCAACCTATAGACCCAAAACAATCACTTCATCTTAAAAATATTTGAATTGTTCTGACAATCATGTAGGATGATAAAGTAAAGCTCTGTTTATTCACTAAATGAACCAAGTCATCTAGGGAGTAGAATTTACCCCATTAGGTCCCATGACTTTTTTGTGTGTCTGTGGGTACATAGTAGGTGTATATATTTATGGGTTACATGAGATATTTTGATACAGGCATGCAATGCATAATCATCACATCAGAGTAAATAGGCATTTATCCTCTGTGTTACAAACAATCCAATTATACTCTTAGTTTAAAAACGTACAATTAAAGTATTTTTGTTCCAGGTGCGGTGGCTCATGCCTGTAATCCCAGCACTTTGGGAGGCCTAGATGGGCAGATCACGAGGTCAGGAGTTTGAGACCAGCCTGGCCAACATGGTGAAACCCCCTCTGTACTAAAAATACAAAAATTAGCTGGGCATGGTGGCGGGCACCTGTAATCCCAGCTACTCCAGAGGCTGAGGTAGGAGAATCGTTTGAACCCAGGGGGTGGAGATTGCAGTGAACCGACATTGCGCCATTGCACTCCAACCTGGGTGAATGGGTGAGACTCCATGTAAAAAAAAAAGAAAAGTATTTTTGACTGTAGTCACCTTGTGTGCTAGCAAATACTAAGTCTTATTTATTCTTTCTAACTATCATTTTTGTGCCCATTAACCATTCCCACTTATCTCCACCCCACCAAATCCCCACCCGCCAGCAACCCTTCCCAGCCTCTGGTAACTGTCCTTCTACTCTTTATTTCCATGAGTTCAATTATTTTAATTTTTAGCTCCCACAAATAAGTGAGAGCATGTGACATTTGTCTTTCTGTGCCTGGCTTATTTCCCTAAACATAATGACCTCCAGTTCTATCTACGTTGTTGCAAATGATGAGATCACATTCTTTTTTATGGCTGAAAAGTACTTCATTGTGTATATGTACCACATTTTCTTTATCTTTTCATCTGTTGATGGAAACTTAGGTTGCTTCCAAATCTTGGCTATTGTGAATAGTACTGCAATAAACATGGGAATGCAGATATCTCTTCAGTATACCGATTTCCTTTCTTTTGGGTATATACTTGGAGTCAGATTGTTGGATCGTATGGTAGCTCTTTTTATAGTGTTTTGAGGAACCTCCAAAATGTCCTCCATTGTGATTGTACTAATTTACATTCCTATTAATGGTGTATGAGGGTTTCCTTTTCTCTACATCCTTGTCAGCTTTTGTTATTGCCTGTCTTTCAGATAAAAACCATTTTAACTGAGGTGAGATGATAGCTCCTTGTAGTTTTGATTTGCATTTCTCTGATGATCAATGATGTTGAGAACTTTTTCATATGCCTGTTGCCATTTGTATGTCTTCTTTCGAGAAATGTCTATTCAGATATTTCACCCATTTTTAAATCAGATTAGATTTTTTCCTATAGAGTTGTTTGATCTTCTTATATATTCTGGTTATTAATCCCTTGTCAGATGGGTAGTTTGCAAATATTTTCTCCCATTCTGTGGTTTGTCTCTTCACTTTGTTGATTGTTTCCTTTGCTGTGCAGAAGCCGTTTAACTTGATGTGTTCCTATTTGTCCATTTTTTCTTTGGTTGCCTGTGCTTATATGGTATTACTCAAGAAATTTTTGCCCGGTGCAATTTCATGGAGAGTTTCTCCAATGTTTTCTTTTACTAGTTTCATAGTTTGAGGTCTTAGACTTAAGTCTAATCCATTTTATTTTTGTATATAGTGAAATAGAAGTCTAGCTTCATTCTTTTGTATATGGATATTCAGTTTTCCCAGCACTATTTATTGAAGAGATTGTTCTTTCCTCCACTGCATGTTCTTGGAAGATTTGCCAAAAATGAGCTCACTTTCAAAAATGAATAGTTGTATGGATTTATTGCTTGGTTCTCTATTCTGTTCCACTGATCTATATGTCTGTTTTTTATGTCAGTATCATGCCATTTTGGTTACTATAGCTCTGTAGTATAAAGTCAGGTAATGTGATTCCTCCAATTTTGTTCTTTTTGCTTAGGATAGCTTTGGCTATTCTGGGTCTTTTGTGGTTCCATATAAATTTTAATATTTTTTTTCTATTTCTGTGAAGAATGTCATTGGTATTTGGATAGGGATTGCATTAAACCTGTAGATTGCTTTGGGGAGTATGGACATTTTAACAATATTTATTCTTTCAATCCATGAGGATGAAATATATTTCCATTTTTTGTGTGTCTTCAATTTCTTGCATTAGTGTTTTATAGTTTCTATTGTAGACACATTTTGCTTCTTTGGTTAATTCCTAGGTATTTTATTTGTAGCTATTGTAAATGGAATTACTTTTTTTATTTTTTTTCACATCGCTTTCTGTTGACATATAGAAATGCTACTGATTTTTGTATGTTGGTTTTATATCCTGCAACTTTACTGAATTTGCTTATTCCAACAGTTTTTTTGTGGAGTCTTTAGGTTTTTTCAAATATAAGATCATATCATCTGTAAGCAAGGATAATTTGACTTCTTCCTTTCCAATTTGAATGTCCTTTATTTCTTTCTCTTGTCTTATTTCCCTAGGTAGGACTTTAAGTACCATGTTGAATAATACTGGTGAAAGTGGGGATCCTTGTCGTGTTCCCAATCTTAGAGGGAAGGACTTCAGTTTCAGTTTGTCCCTATTTGGTATTATTTGAGTTATATGTCCATCATATATGGCTTTTATTATGTTGAGGTATATTTCTTCTATACCACACTGAGGTTTTTTTTTTATCATAAAAGATGTTGAATTTTATCAAATCTTTTTCAGCATCAATTGAAATGATGATATGGTTTTTGTCTTTCATTCTGTTGATATGATACATCACATTAATTGACTTGCATATATTGAGCCATACTTGCATCCCTGAGATAAATGCCACTTGGTCATGATGAACGACCTTTTTTAATGTTGTTGAATTTGGTTTGCTAGTATTTTGTTGATGATTTTTACATCAATATTCATCAGGGATATTGGCCTATAGTTTTATTTGATTGATGTGTCTTTGTCTGGCTTTGGTATCAGAGTAATACTGGCCTTGTAGAATGAGTTTAGAAGTATTCCCTCCTCCTCTATTTTTTAGAACAGCTTGAGTAGGTTTGGTATTAGTTCTTCTTGAAAGGTTTGGTACCATTCAGCAGTGAAGCCATCAGATCCCAGGCTTTTCTGTGCTAGGAGACATTTTTTTACAGCCTTGATCTTTGATATTGGTCTGTTCAGGTTTTGGATTTCTTCAGGCTTCAATCTTGGTAAGTTGTATGTGTCTAGTAATTTATCCATTTCTTCTAGATTTTCCAATTTATTGGCATATAGTTGCTCAACCTAGCCATTCAAGATCCTTTCAACTTCTGCAGTATCAGTAGTGATGTCTCCTTTTTCATCTCTGATTTTATTTATTTGGATCTTCTCTCTTTTTTGCTTAATTACTCTAGCTAAAGATTTGTCATTTTTGCTTGTCTTTCAAAAAAGAGTTTTTGTTTCATTGATCTATTGTATTGTTTTCTTCATTTCAATTTATTTCTGCTCTGATCCTTATTATTGCCTCTCTTTCTACTAATTTTGGGTTTGGTTTGCTGCTGCTTTTCTAGTTCTTTAGGATGGCTTGTTAGGTTGCTTATTTAAAGATTTTCTCCTTTTTTGATGTAGCCAGTTACAGCTATAAACTTTCCTCTTAGTACTACTTGTACTGTATCCAATAGCTTTTGGTATGTTGTTTCCATTATCATCTGTTTCAAGAAATTTTTCATTTTCCTTCTTAATTGCTTCATTGACCCCACTGATCATTCAGGAATATATTATTTGATTCCAATATGTTTGTATAGTTTCCAAAATTCCTCTTCTTATTGATTTCTAGTTTTATTCCAATGTAATCAGAGAAGACATTTTGTATTATGTCATTTTTTAATGTTTTAAGACTTGTTTTATAATCTAACAGATGGTGTATCCTTGAAAATGATCCATATGCTGCTGAGGAGAAGAATGTGTACTCTGCAGCCATTGGATGAAATATTCTGTTAATATCTCTTAGGTTTATTTTGCCTACAGTACAGATTAAGTCTGATGTTTCTTTGATTTTGTCCAGTGCTAAAGTGGGGTGTTGAAGTCTTCAGCTATTGTTGTATTGAAATCTATCTCTCTCTTTAGCTCTAAGAATATTTGCTTTATATATCTGGGTGCTCCAGGGTTGGGTGTATATATATCCATTCAGCCACTCTACATCTTTTGATTGGAGAGTTTAGTCCATTTATATTCTATCTTATTATTGAAGGTGATTTTCTCTGGTGGTATAATTTAATTTCTTGCTGTTTATTTTTTGTGCATCTGCTGTATAGTTCGTGATTTGAGGTTTCCATGAGACTTGCAAATATTATAACCTATTATTTTAAGCTGATAACAACATTGTTTTCACAAACAAACAATAAAAACTCTACACCTTAACTTGATCCCCCCTGCTTTTCAACTTTTTATTGTTTCTGTTTGTACCTTATTGTACTATGTCTTGAAAAGGTATTGTAGTTATTACATTTAATTGGCTCATCTTTTAGTCTTTCTACTTAATATGATAGTAGTTAATATACCACAGTTACAGTGTTATAATATTATGTGTTTTTCTATGTACTGACTATTATCAGTGAATTTTATACCTTCAGATTATTTTTTATTGCTCATTAATGTCCTTTTCTTTCTGATTGAAGTACTGTTTGTAGCATTTCTTGTAGGGCAAGTCTGGTATTGATAAAGTCCCTTAGATTTTGTTTGGGAAAGTCTATATTTCTCTTTCATATTTGAAGAATAATTTCACCAGATATACAATTTTAGGGTAAAAGTTTGTTTTTTTCCTTCAACACTTTAAATATGTCATGCCACTGTCTTCTGGCCTGTAAAGTTTCCGCTGAAAAGTCGCTGCCAGATGTATTGAAGCTCCCTTTTATGTTTTGTTGTCTTTTTCTCTTGCTGCTTTTAGGATCTTTTCTTCATCTTTAACTTTTAGGAGTTTGATTATTAAATGCCTTGTGGTAGTCTTTTTGGAGTTAAATTTGCTTGGTGTTCTATAACCCTCTTGTATTCAGATATTGGTATCTTTTCCTAGATTCGGAAGTTCTCTGTTATTATCCTTTTGAATAAACTTTTTACCTCTGTCTCTTTCTCTATATCCTCTTTAAAGCCAATAACTTTTAGATTTGCCCTTTTGAGGCTATTTTCTAGATCTTGTAGGCATGCTCTGTTGTTTTCTATTCATTTTTCTTTTGTCTCCTCTGACTGTGTATTTTCAAATAGTCTGTCTTCAAGCTCACTAATTCTTTTTTCTGCTTGATCCATGCTGCTATTAAAATACTCTGATGAATTCTTTAGTAGGTCAATTGAATTTTTCAACTCCAGAATTTCTGCTTGATTCTTTTTGATTATTTTAATGTCTTTGTTAAATTTATTTGATAGAATTCTGAATTCATTTTCTGTGTTATCTTGAATTTCTTTGAGTTTCCTTAAAACAGCTATTTTGAATTATCTTCCTGAAAGGTCACATAACTCTGTTTCTCCAGGATTGGGCCCTAATGTGGTGCCTTACTTAGTTTATTTCATGAG
Organism: Homo sapiens; assembly: GCF_000001405.40. Taxonomy (NCBI): domain Eukaryota; kingdom Metazoa; phylum Chordata; class Mammalia; order Primates; family Hominidae; genus Homo; species Homo sapiens. The sequence goes on from NC_000002.12 coordinate 16,995,782, forward strand.
ATCATCTTTCCTGGATGACACTGATGCTAGCAGATGTTCTTTGGTGTCTGGACATTGAAGAGTTAGGTATTTATTTTAGTCTTCACAATCTGGACTTGTTTGTACCCGTCCTCCTTGGGAAGGTTTTCCAGATATTCAAAATGACTTGGGTACTGTGATCTAAGCTATATATGTATTAGGGGCACCCCAAGTCCAGTAACACTATGGTTCTTACAGACTCTAGAAGTATCACTTTGATGGTCTTGGATAAGATACAGAAGGATTTTCTGTATTTCCAGGCAGAGACTCTTAGTCTCTTTCTTTTTTTTTTTTTTAATTTTACTTTCAGTTATGGATACATATGCAGAACATCCAGGTTTGTTACATAGGTATACATGTGCCATGGTGGTTTGCTGCACCTATCAACCTGTCATCTAGTTTTTAAGCCCCACATGCATTAGGTATTTGTCCTAATGCCCTCTCCTCGCTTTTCCCCCACCTCCCGACAGGCCCTGGTGTGTGATGTTCCCCTCCCTGTGTCCATGTGGTCTCATTGTTCAACTCTCAACAATGATTGAGAACAGGTGGTGTCTGGTTTTCTGCTCCTGTGTTAGTTTGCTGAGGATGATGGCTGCCAGCTTCATCCACGTCCCTGCAAAGGACAGGAACTCATTCTTTTTTATGGCTGCATAGTTTCCATGGTGTATACATGCCACATTTTCTTTATCTAGCCTATCATTGACAGGCATTTGGGTTGGATCCAAGTTTTTGCTATTGCAAATAGTGCTGCATTAAACATACATGTGCATGTGTCTTTATAGTAGAATGATTTATAATCCTTTGGGTATATACTCACTAATGGGATTGCTGGGTCAAATGGTATTTCTGGTTCTAGATCCTTAAGGAATCATCACACTGTCTTCCACAATAGTTGAATTAATTTACACTCCAACCAACAGTGTAAAAGCGTTCCTATTTCTCCACAGCTCCACCAGCATCTGTTGTTTCCTGACTTTTTAATAACCACCATTCTGACTGGCATGAGATGGTATCTCATTGTGGTTTTGATTTGCAGTTCTCTAATGATCAGTGATGATGAGCTTTTTTTCATGTTTGTTGGCTGCATAAATGTCATTTTTTGAGAAGTGTCTGTTCATATCCTTTGCCCACTTTTTGATGGGGTTATTTTTTTCTTGTAAATTTGTTTAAGTTCCTCATAGATTCTGGATATTAGCCCTTTATCAGATGGGAAGATTGCAAAAATTTTCTCTCATTCTGTAGGTGCCTGTTCACTCTGATGAAAGTTTCTTTTGCTGAGTGGAAGCTCTTTAGTTTGATTAGATTCCATTTGTCAATTCTGGCTTGTGTTGCAATTGCTTTTGGTGTTTTAGTCATGAAGTATTTGCTAATGCCTGTGACCTGAATGGTATTGCCTAGGTTTTCTTCTAGGGTTTTTATGGTTTTAGGTTTTACACTTATGTCTTTAATCCATCTTGAGTTAATTTTTGTATAAGGCGTAAGGAAGGGGTCCAGTTTCTCTTTTCTGCATATGGCTAGCCAGTTTTCCCAGCACCATTTATTAAATAGGGAATCCTTTCTCCATTTCTTGTTTTTCTCAGGTTTGTCAAAGATCAGATGGTTGTAGATGTGTGGTGTTATTTCTGAGGCCTCTGTTCCAATCCATTGGTCTATATGTCTGTTTTGGTACCAGTACCATGCTGTTTTGGTTACTGTAGCCTTGTAGTATAGTTTGAAGTCAGGTAGCGTGATGCCTCCAGCTTTGTTCTTTTTGCTTAGGATTGTCTTGGCTATATGGACTCTTTTTTGGTTCCATATGAACTTTAAAGTATTTTTTTCTAGTTGTGCGAAGAAAGCCAGTGGTAGCTTGATGGAAATAGCATTGAATCTTTAAATTACTTTGGGCGGTATGGCCATTTTCATGGCCATACCATGAAAATGTATGGTATTTTATTTTTCCTATCCATGAGCATGGTATGTTTTTCCATTTGTTTGTATCCTCTCTTATTTCCTTGAGCAGTGGTTTGCAGTTCTCTTTGAAGAAGTCCTTCATGTCCCTTGTAAGTGGTATTCCTACGTATTTTATTCTCTTTGTAACAATTGTAAATGGTAGTTCTCTCATGATTTAGCTCTCTGCTTGTCTATTGTTGGTGTATAGTAATGCTTGCAATTTTTGCACATGTATCCTGAGACTTTGCTGAAGTTTCTTACCAGCTCAAGGAGTTTGGGGGCTGAGACGATGGGCTTTTTTAAATATACAATCATGTCATTTGCAAACAGAGACAAAAGGGTAGTTCAACATATGCAAATCAATAAACATAATCCATTGCATAAACAGAACCAATCCCAAAAACCACATGATTACCTCAATGGATGCAGAAAAGGCCTTTGATAAAATTCAACATCCCTTCATGTTAAAAACTCTCTATAAACTAGGTATTGATGGAATATATCTCAAAATAACAAGAGCTGTTATTGATAAACCCATAGCCAATATCATACTGAATGGGCAAAAGTTCAAAGCATTCCCTTTGAAAACCAGCACAAGACAAAGATACCCTCTCTCACCACTCCTATTCAACATAGTATTGGAAGTTCTGGCCAGGGCAATCAGGAAAGAGAAAGAAATAAAGTGTATTCAAATAGGAAAAGAGGAAGTCTTTCTTTTAAATAACAACAAAAAAATCTATCTCTTCTGAGCTGCCTGGAGCTGGGGGTGGGGTGACGCAAGCACTCCTGTGGCCACCATCATTTAGATTGTTCTCAGTCAGACTAGATGCCAGCACAGCACTGGGTCTCACCCAATGCCCACTGTAACCACTATCTGGTTACTGCCTATGATTGCTCAAGGACCCAGGGCTCTACAGTAAGCAGGTGGTAAAGCCAGTCAGGTCTGTATTCCTCCCTTCAGGGCAGCAAGTTCCCCCAGGGCCTGGGTGGGTCCAGAGGTGCCATCTGGGAGTTAGGAATTACAGCCAAAAACCTTAGAAGTCTATCTGTTTTTCTATTGTACTGAAAGTGAGCTGGCACTTGAACCATGAGACACAGTTCATCCCACTCTTCTCTCCGCTTTCCATGGGCAGTGGAGCTTCACCCTGTGGCCACCACGACTACAGGCCCATGGGCTCTTCAGTCAGCTTATGGTGAATGCTGCCCAGCCTGGGACTCACTCTTTAATGCAGTCAGCTCCCCTCTGGTCCTTGACATGTCCAGAAATGCCATCCAAGAGCCACGGCCTGGAATTGGGGACCCTAAGAGCCCACTTGATTTTCTACCTCCTGTGACTGAGCTGGTACTTAAGGTACAAGACAAAGTCCCCTTTACTTTTCCCTCTACTTTTCTCAAGCAGGAGTCTTTCCCCATAGCCACCACCCCCAGGAATGTGCTGAGTTTCACCCAAGGCCCATAGTGTACTATCTGTGTATCACTCCTGGTTATTCAGAGCCCAAAGGCTCTTTAGTCAGCAGGTGATAGGTCCTGCCAGGACTGGGTTTGTCCCTTCAAGGCAGCAGGTTTGCTTCTGGCCTAGGATGTGTCTAGAAATGTCACCCAGGAGCTAGGGCCTGTGAAGGGGGCCTCACGATTCTGACTGGTGCCCTACCCTACTGCAGCTGAGCTGGTATCCAAGATGAAAAATAAAGTATTCATTACTCTTCCCTCTCCTCTCTGTAAGTGGAAGGAAGGGGTCTTTTATGGAGCCCTGAGCTGTGCAGCCTGGATTTGGAGGAAGGGTGGCACAAGCACTGTCTTAGCTGCCAGGGATGGAAAATTTACTTCACACATTTTAATTTAAATATGTCCACATGTTGTATCTCTGTTTTACATAGTGAATTCTGTTGAAATTCAGTTCCATGGCTTATATTATAAGTGTGGATAAAAAGGTTTTCAAAGTCAAGTAAATTTGGGCAATGCAGGGTTAAGCAATGCAAAAACAACATAAAAAGTTGTGTTTATTATAGGGGTATTTTACATGCTAGTATTATGCAGTGTAAATCGCCTAAAGTTTACATGGAATGCAGTATTGCAAAACCTCATCTGGCCATAAAACCCTCTTATTTTCATTCATTTTTGAGGGACTGCTATATCATGAAATATACTTAACAAAATATATTATAACTTTTCCTGCCTTTTTAAATATACTGAATATTTTTCTTCGTGACCAATATATTTTTGCCGATCAATATAATTTTGAGTTGTAATATGGTGGATAACCTTAGATGCTATTGAGGAATATGGAGTAATTTTTCCCTACATTAAATGCCAAGTAGTGACGTATATGTATGTGTCTGTGTATGTGTACTTCTTTGGTCCATTTTTTAAAAAAATTCACTGGAAGCTGTCTATTATTCATATGACTCAGGTGTGACGTTTCTGTCCCTTTGGGCATTGTCTGTGTGCATGCCTCTAGCGATGTCTTCACCACCTGTTATATTTCATTTCTTAATTGCTGCAAATTAAGAAGCCAAATGAAAAGTAATTTGAGAGAAAAGCACAGTGAAGGGAGGAAAGACAATCAGGGCCATTTGGAAACAATTAGAATCATGCATATCTGACTTTGAAATCTGGCTCTGCCTCTTACCAGCTGTGAAACTCTGGGCAAAGAATGAGACCATTCTGAGTCTCTGTTTTCTCATCTACACAATGAAAGCAGTGGTATCTGTAGAAGAGAAAAAGCTACTGCCTGTCTTCCTGCTTGTCTACCTACCTTACACTAGGTTCCTCTACCACTCAAGAGATGAGGAGTTTCTCATTAGGTGGCTCAAACACTAGCGTATTAATTTTGCCCCATTTACTTGTACACAGATCCAATGTACCTTCAGTGGCCACACACATACATGAGGGCCCCAATTGGGTCATGGTCAGCTTCTTCTTTCTCCTCTTTCCTCCTTTCATCTGGAGTAAGAGGATGACAAAGTTGGATTCAAGCCCTGAAGCAAGGTGGAAGCCAGCACACTTTTCTCAGAGAGCTTATGTGGGCATTGACCCAGCTAATAATGAGAAAGGATTTTCATTTTCTTTCTGCTGCCATTCACTGTATTTTCCAGAGTTCAATCTGGAATCTCTGAGCAGACGTTTTCTGTAGGGTTGGATTTGCCCTATACTTTGGTCACTTTTTCCGACAAATGCCACAGATATCTTAAGACACCTACCTCATTCTACTTCACAGTAGAAGACAGAGAATTAAATAATGTCACTCTAAAGTTGTTTTTTGGAAGAACTCTTATTTTTATTTTAACTACTTAGAAAGTAAGAATAATGTAACACGTTTTTCATGATCTCTCTTCTAAATAAGGTGCATGGCCAGGCATGGTGGCTCATGCCTGTAATCCCAGTGCTTTGTGAGGCCAAAGTTGAGGGGTCACTTGAGGACAGGAGTTGGAGATCTGTAGGACAATATAGCAAGACTCCATCTCTATTAAAAAAATAAATAAAGTTAGCCAGGATTGGTGGCATGCACCTGTAAGTCTTGGCTACTGGGAGGCTGAGGCAAGAGGATCTCTTGAGCCCAGGAGTTTGAGGCTGCAGTGAGCTATGATTGTGCCACTGTACTCCAGCCTGGGTAACAGAGCAGGACCTTGTCTTAAAAAGATTACAAAATTTGACCAAACAGGTGCCTTAAGAAATCATAGCTAGGTTTCAGATTAAACACTTGGATAAACAAGTATTGTCATATTTAAGTATTGCCATATTTAACATTAGTACTTGGTATCTAAGAAATATTTAGCAAAATTTTAATAGATAAAGTAAAAAAAAAGCTTTCTTCTTAAGTATGCCATTTAATATATTCTTTTACCAATGACAGCCTTATAAAAGGGTTGCCTGGCTATGCAATCACTCCAATTAAAATACCTGGAATCAAACACTACATTAGGGCTTGTTCTTAAATAGGTTTAATTGATTCACTTATTAGCTACACATCGGATGCTATTTTCTCCCTCTCTAAACTATCTTGTGTCGAGCTTAAATGGCAATCTATTTCATCAGGAACAATGTCATCCCCTGGGCCACAGGTAAAAATAAATATGTCATTGGGATTATGTGGGTTAGTCTGATCTGTGTATTTACTGAATAAATGCAGAAGCTAAGAAAAGTGCTCTGTACTCCCTGTTCCATTTTCCTGATGAAGATTGGTTTCGAATTTTTAAAAACAGAAAACACGAGAAAGAGCTGGAGATGGGATTTTAAAAAGTAGATTTCTGTTGGTCTGTGAATAGTACATGTTTTCTCTTTAATCTATTGCTGTCTTTGGTAACATCTGACTTTTCTCTAAGGAATTAAACATGTTTTAGAAGATACATTGGAAGCAAAACCTCTTTGTAGTGGTCCAGAAAAGTAAGAAAATCTAAATTTAATATTCCAGAAAAGTAAATCCTGCAGCACTATGCTGGCATAGCATTTCTGATTTATGTCAATTACCTATTCAGAAAGTTAAATTTAAATGTTTTTCTTAAGGGACATGCTTTTATGGCTTTAATAATAGTGCTAAGTAATTTTAGATAAAAATAATGTGTTATTCATAAAGGAAAAGCAATACCCTTTTACATGTATATTTTGCTCTTTCATTTATAAAGCTCTCTCATATGTGATCTTTATCCAACTCTCATTATAGCCTTGCTAGAGAGAAGGTTTAATGACCATGATGTATTGGGTACTGAAGGGTTAAGGAATTTACCCATTGTCATCGATTTATTGAGTGAAATGAACATGTACAGAAATGGGCCTAGACTTCTAATTACCAACTCCTTTTCACCTCTTTTTGTAATTTAACAGCATGCATTCTTGCATGTGCCAGGTATTATCTTAGTCCTGGGAGGGTCACAGGAGTATAGAGGGCAGGCTAATATCAGCTTTCTTGGAGTGTCATTCCAATAAAGGCAAAGACTGACAAAAAACATTCAACAAGCAATTGTGATAATATCAGATAATTATAAGAGAAGAAGAAAGTGGTAGGGGGATGCTTGGTTAATTTATCTAGAGTAGCTATAGAAGGTATATCAGTCAGGAACCACAAAAATTGAAAATTTCAATTAAAATAGTTTCAAGCAGAGCAATCATCTCACATAATAAAGTAGGCAGGTAGGAAGTTCCAAGGCTAGTTGACTTGAAATGAAACAATGTCAGGTTCTGTGCAATGGCTGCCATAGTCCACAGTTCCAAGCATTGGGTCCTCACTTAACTGTAATAAAATAAGGCACAGGCCTCCCTGTTTCCTTTGTTAAGAGGAAGGAAACATCTTAAATCATCTAGCTGTTATGCGCCTGGGTGGTATTCCATGACCAAGTCTAAACTCATCCCTAGCAAGCATGAGATTATCAAAACTGGCTTGGCTTAATAAACAGTCCTTCTACTGGAACTGTAGAGGGCTCATGCAATACTTAAGTAGCCAATATCTGAACAAAATTGGCATAGAGGTCTCTCAGGGAGTGGTATTTGAGTTGAAGTTTGAATGAATTGAATCATTCGATGAGAAGTGAGGGAAGAACATGCCAGGCAGCCACACGGCATCCAATATTTATTAAGGACTTTGTATGATCCAGGCACTACTTTAAGCACTATCTGTGTTAACTCTTCAACACTGATAGCAATACTACTATGAGGCTCACTCACATTAAGGAGAGTAATCTGCTTTACTCAAAGTCTACTGAGTTAGATGTTAATCACATTTAAAAATTACCTTCATGGCAACATCTAGACAGGTGTCTGACCAAACATCTGGACAGAATAGTCTAGCCACCTTGAACATAAAATTATAAATTACAGTTGTTAGTTTGTATGACAAAGTGACCTATAAAATGTAAATCTCTCTCTTCAACCCGTTATGTTATCTCTATCCTTCCAGTTGACTCGATAGATCCCACATGAGTAATTCCTCAATCACCAATCCTTCTGACTTTGTATTTTCAGTTCCCACATGTCCTTACTCCCTCAGTACAGCTCAGATTCCATGGCTCAGAACTGTAATTGCTCCATCATAAACACCTTTAATTCCCAGTCCTGGTTAATTTGACTACTACTCCCTTCACTTCTGCACTCGAGCCTCTGAATGTTACTGAATTGTAGTCACACAGCTATACGATTAAGTCACAGAAATACTCTTCATATTTATGACCACACATTTCAAATGACCACATTTCTCTATCAAAATCATTCCTCCACTCTCCAAAATGACTATTCCTCATCTCCTTTTCTCTATTAAAAGCTCTCAGAACTAATCATCCTTATTTGCAGTTGCTTATTGCAAGAAAGAGAAGAGACAAACTCAGATGAAGATTACTTCATTCTCACAAGACCAGCTGAACAAACCACCAGCATCTGGACATACATTTTTGATCTCCTATTACAATAAAAGAAGCAAATAAGCTTTGATTTGAGTCCAAACTCTTCATTTATCTCTAATTCCATCCCATCTTACTTTCTAAGATCTCAACTTTTATATTATAAAACTCCTCTCACTGGATTACTCCCATGAGATGCTAACATCTTTCTGAAAATCTCATTTGCCCTCCAGAAACAATCACATTTCTCTGGTCTTCTTAACATCAAAGCCCTCCAAAGTAATGTACTACACATTGTCTTGTCACATTCGCTCCTCAACCCACATCTAGGCTTTTCAATCCTCCCTATCACTGAAATAGCTCTTATTAATCTCACAGAAGCTAAATATTTCCAAAGATGATACTCAATTTTCAGTCATCTTTGTTTCACCTCTCAGTAGTTATGACATAATGGATCTCTCCTTTTTGCAACCTTCTCTTACCTATATTTTAGTACAATTGTCCTAAACTGGTTTTCCTTTTATCCCAGTGTCTTTCTTTCCAACCACCTTTGATATATCTTATTCCTCTTCTGCTTTTAATATGGGTGTAACACTCAAAGATTTTCTTTACTTCTGCCTTTTCTCTTCTATATTTACACCCTTCCCTAGATGATCTCATTCAGTCCCAGGGACTAAATTCTTCCTGCTCGAATCTCTTTTTTAAGTTCCATGCTATGACATCCCACTTCCTTCTTTACATTTACACTTTGATGTTTATAAATTCTTTCTGCCTCAATGTGGCTGAAACAGTGACAATGTCTCCACTGTTCCCCAAATCAGCTTTTCCTTATCCATCCAGTCCTGCTTCCAAAGCTCTTCATTTTACACTTCCCCATCTCTCTCATTCAGTTGCTCAAGCTCAAAACATCATTTTCAACTTTCTCTTTCTTGCATACCCCAAACTCAATCCGGCAGTAAGCCTTGTTGCCACTACTTCCAAAACATGCCTTCAATCTGACAATTTTTCACCGTCTCCCCTACTGCAAGACTAGCCTAAACCTCCAACATACCTTCCTGGACTATTTGGCTATCCATTTTTTTTCCTGAGAGTCCTTTCCCTCATAGCAGCCACACGAACCTTTCAAAGGACAAATCTGGCCTCCTTGCTCTTGATTTCAACTCCACAATAACTGCTCACAGCACTTGAAATATAATCCAAACTGTCCCAGCTAGCAACTTCTTGATATTTCTGTCCCCTGCCTGACTCTCTCATATCATTACTTTCACTTTTTCTCTTCTGTTCACTATACATTATTCTACTTTATCTTCTTTATAGCACTTTTTTGTTCTCTCAAGTTGTCTCAACTATTTATTGGTTTACATGTTGGCTGTCTATAAATCCCCACTTGACTATAAATTCTACAGCATATTTCTTTTTGTTCACTTTTGTGCCCCATCAACTTGTGCTAGTGACTGGCACTTTTCGATAAATATGTGTTTGCTGTTTTCTCAGCTTCAATTGAAGTACCAGTAAAAGAACTATATTACTTTCCTCTGAATTCTACTATAAGAAGACAACAGCTCTTCATTACAACAAATTAAAATTGACACCCAACCTTACTACAAGTACATGAGAAAAGTCTGTGAAAATTGGGATAGCACATGTCTTATGCAAAGGAGGTAGCTGCTATTAATCTCTGCCCAACAGTTACTATGAAGGAAGGTGAGTCCAATGTCACAGTACATTCCATTTTATTTTATTCTTTTTTTGAAATTCTGAATTCTAATTTTTCAGTGATATCCCCAGATTTTAAAATATTCATAATTTACTCCATTGCTTGTTTGTAAGCCTTTAACCCAGTATAAAGCCCAAATAGGAACAATTTGCAGAATGGTTTCAATCTGTGGACTCTCATTTTTCAGCCTTGACTGTGGAATAATTTTATAAACAAGGAGGAAAAAATCTGAAGAAACTTAGTTGAGCACCATGGCATGGAGATGAGGATGGTGGAGTCTGTAGGCAACTCAAAGAAGCTTTACCATTGTCTCAGCACATTTGGGCTCCTATAACAAAGTACCACAAACTTAGGGGCTTATAAATAACATAAATTTATTCCTCACAGTTCTGGAGGCCGAACATCTGAGGTCAGGGGTGCCAGCACTATTGGTTTCTGGTGAGGGTCCTCTTCTGGGTTACAAAATACTGTTATCTTATTATATGCTCATACATCCTCACATGGTAGAAATAGGCAGAGAGCTCTCTGGGGTCCCTTTTATTAAGGCACTAATCCCATTCATGAGGGCTCCATCCTTCTGACCTAATCACCTCCCAAAGGCCCAACTTCCTAATACTATCACATTGAGGGTAAGGATTTCAACATAAGAATTTAGGGTAAACAGAAACATTTAACCAATTGCAACTCATTTCAGAGTTTTCTTCTAAATAGGGTCTGACTAAGGACTTTGGAGTTGGGCTAGTTTATATTCTGAAGCTACAACCTTCACAGACAACTTTCAGGAAGTCATAGACATTTTGTCTTCCTGCAGGACACTGGTTTCTGGGTTTTGTGAAAGCAAAACAACCACAGAAAAATAATAGGATGGTAAAATGGCCAGAGGTTTCCACTTGTACAGGAGTGGAGGTGGGGGCAACCTGCATAGAAATTAAAATTTCTCACGTAGAGTTTGGGGGAATCTGGAAATATTTAATTCAGGCCCTAGATTCTGTGGTCCTAGAAATTTATCTTAAGAATTTTTTTAAATCACATTTATAAAGAACAGTATACAGGCATACCTTTATTTTATCACAATTCGCCAATATTGCATTTTTTACAAATTGCACGTTTGTTGCAGCCCCGCATCAAGCAAATCTATTGGCACATTTTTTTTCCAACCGCCTGTACTCGCTTCATGTCTTTGTGTCACATTTTGGTAACTCTTGAAATATGTTAATTTATTATTATTATTATATCTGCTATGCTGATCTGTGGTCAGTAATCTTTGATGGTACTATTGTAATTTATTTGAGGTGCCAGAAACCATGCCTATATAAGAAAGAAAACTTAATTCTATAAATTACACATTTATGTTGTGTGTATTCTGTCTGCTCCACTGACTGGCTGTTCATCAAACTGTCTCTATCTCTCCTGGGGCCCCCTATTCCCTGAGAAACAGAAGTATTAAAATTAGGCCATTTAATAACTCAATAATGGTCTTTGAGTGTTCAGGTGAAAGGAAGAGTCACATGTCTTTCACTTTAAGCCAAAAGGTGCATGTAATTAAGCTTAGTGAGGAAAGCATGTCAAAAGTAGAAATAAGCCAAAAGCTAGGCTTCTTGTGCCAGTTAGTGAGGTTGTGAATGCAGAGGAAAATTTCCTGAAGAAAATTTAAAGTGCTAACCCAGTGAACACACAAATGATAAGAAAGCAAAACAGCCTTATTGCTGATATGGAGAAAGTTTCAGCAGTCTGGAATGAAGATCAAACCAACCATAAAATTCTGTTAAGTCAAAGCCTAATCCAGAGCAAGACCCTAACGTTCTTCAATTATATGAAGACTGAGAGAGGTAGGAAGGTGCAGAAGAAAAGTGGGAAGCCAACAGAGGTTGGTTCATGAGGTTTAAGGAAAACTTTATTCTTAATATTAAAGTGCAAGATGAAGCAGCAAGAGCTGATGGAGAAAGCTGTAGCAAGTTTTCCAGAAAATCTTGCTAAGATGATAGAGAAAGTGATTATATTAAACAACACATTTTCAATATAGATAAAACAGCCTTTGAATAGAAGGTGTTTATCTAAAACTTCCATAGATAGAGAGGAGGAGTCAATGCCTGGTTTCAAACCTTCAAAGAAAAGGCTGATCCTCTTTTTGGGGCTTAGTGCAGCTAGTGACTTTAAGCTGAAGTCAGTGTTCACTTACCATTCTGAAAATTCGATGGCCTTTAAGAGTTATGCTAAAACAACTCTTCCTGTGCTCTACAGATGGAAGAACCAAGCCTGGACAACAGCACATCTACTTGCAGCATGGTTGACTGAATATTTTAAGCCTGATGTTTTAAGCTCAGAAAAAATGATTGCTTTCAAAATATTACTGCTGATTGACAATGCACCTGTTTTACTCAAGAGGTCTGAGGGAGATGTGTAAGATTAATGTTGTTTTCATGCCTGCTAACACAACATCCATTCAGCAGCCCATGGGTCAATGAGTCATTTTAACTTTCAAGTCTAATTTAAGAAATATATTTTGTAAGGCTATAGCTGCCATAGGTAATGATACCTCTAATGATTCTGGGAGAAGTAAACTGAAAATCTTCTGGAAAGAATTATCCATTCTAGATGTCATTAAGAACATTCATGATTCATAGGAGGAGGTCAAAATATCAACTTTTTCTCAAACAGAAGTTTGGAAAAAAGTTGATTCCAAACCTCATGAATGACTTCGAGGGGTTCAAGACTCACTTGAAGAAGTAACTGCCTATGTGTAAACATAGCAAAATAAATAGAATTAGAAGTTCAGCTGCAAGAAGTGACAAAATTATTGCAATTTCATGATGAAATTTGAATGCATGAGAAGTTGCTTTTTGTGAATAAGCAGACAGTGCTTTTTTGAAATGGAACCTACTCGTGGTAAAGATGCTGTAAACATTGTTGAAAGGACACCAGGATTTAGAATATTATATAAACTTAGTTGATAAAGCAGCAGCAAGTTTTGAGGGGATTGACTTCATTTACAAAAGACATTCTACTATGGGTAAAATACTATAAAACAGCATCACAAGCTACAGAGAAATCTTTTGTAAAAGGAAGAGTCAATCAATGCAGCAAACTTTGCTGACCAGGAGTGGTGGTGCATGCTTGTAATTCCAGCACTTAGGGAGGCTGAGGCAGGAGGATCAGTTGAGCCGAGGGGAAAGAGGCCAACCTGGGCAACATAGCGAGATACTGTCTCTACAAAAACTAAAAGATTAGTCAATGTGGTGGTGTGTGCCTGAGGTCCCAGCTACTCGAGAGGCTGAGGCAGGAGGATTCCTTGAGCCCAGGATGTCAAGGCTGCAATGAGCCGTGTTTACTCTGGCCTGGGTAAAAGATCAAGATCCTATTAAAAAAAAAAAAAGAAAGAAAAAAAAGAAAAAAAAAGAAAAGAGAAACTGCCACAGCCAGCTCAACCTTTAGCAGCCACCTCCCTGCTCAGTCAGCAGCCAAAAACATCAAGGCAAGATCCTCCCCCAGCAAAAACATTATGATTCTCTGAAGGCTCAGATGAACAAGAGGACTTTTTAGTAATGAAGTATTTTTAAGAGCATTTTTTAGTAATAAAATATTTTTAATTATGTACTTTGAGGCCGGGTGCAGTGGCTCATGCCTGTAATTCCAGCACTTTGGGAGGCCAAGGTGGGCAGATCACCTGAGGTCAGGAGTTAGAGACCAGCCTGGAAAACATAGCAAAACCCCATCTCTACTAAAAATACAAAAATTAGCTGGCCGTGGTGGCACGTGCCTGTAATCCCAGCTGCTCAGGAGGCTGAGGCAGGAGAATTGCTTGAACCCGGGATGCAGAGGTTACAGTGAGCCAAGATCACACCACTGCACTCCAGCCTGGGCAAGAGTGAAACTCCATCGCAAAAAAAAAAAAGGATATTGTTCTTTTAGACATAATGCTACACATTTAATAATCAACGGTATAGTGTAAACATAAGTTTTAAATGCTCTTGAAACCAAAAAAAAACTTGTGTGATACACTTTATTGTGATATTCTCTTAATCGTATAGTCTAGAAACCCACAATAACTCCAAGCTATATCTGTACATTTCTTCATTAATATATCTTAAAAAGGTGAAATCGTTTCAATTCATTCAATTTAAATAAGCTAACATTCTCTGGCATCTTCCTATGGTCCTATACACAGTGGTTGATATTGTAAAAAATGCTAAAATAAATAGTATCTAGAATTTTTTATAGCCAAATCATATTTCATTGTATGAACATATGTTATTTTCTTTATCTATTTATCTGTCAATGGAAACTTGAATTGTTTCTCTATCTTTTTGTTGTTAATAATGCTGCAATAAACATGAAAGTGCAGATACCACTTTGAGATCCTGATTTCATTCTTTTGAATATATACTCAGAAATGGCTCTGCTGAATCATATAATAGTTCTATTTTTAATTATATGAGGTTGGCCATATTGATTGATTTCTAACCTGCACCATTTAACATTCCTGCCAACAGTGAACAGAAATTCTAATTTCTTCATATCCTTGCCAACACTTATTATCTTTTTATTTTTGACAATAGCCATCATAACAGATGTGAACCTGGAGAACATTATGCTAAGTGAAATAAACCAGTCACATGGCAAAAACTTCATGATTCTGCTGATGTAAAGTCAAACTCATAGAAGTAGAGAATGGAATGATGGTTTCCGGGGAGGACGAAGGAGAAATGGGGAGCTGTTAAATGTGTATAAAGTTTCAGTTATGCAAGGTGAATAAGTTCTAGAGATCTTCCACACAACATAATACCTATAGTTAAAAACATGGTATTGTGCCCTTAAAATTTGTTAAGAGGGGAGGTCTTATATTAAGTGTTCTTACTACAAAAAACAAAATAAGGAGACACAGGGAAACTTTTAGGGATGATGGACATTTTTATTACCTTGATTATAATGATGGTATCATGGATATGTTCAAACTCATTAAATTATATACATTAAACATACACAGTTTTTTTGTATAGCTATTAAACATCAATAAAGCTGTTAAAAACAGTGTATATTTGTTTGCCTTTAATTAGAAAAACATATTCTTTGCACTTCTTCTTTGAAGCCCTTCCTAAACACCCCAGTCATAGGAAACGCCCCCTCCTCTTCAGATTCCCTTTAGAGGAGAGTCTGACTGAATCACTGGCAAGCAGCAAAGCCGCCTATACAGTGTTAAGCAATTGATTATGTCCATTTTGTGTTACTATTACCTTAGCTGTAAGCTTCTGTTCGGGAAGAATTGAGTTTCAAACTTCTCTTTTTCACTTCAGTGCCTAACACAGGGCATGGACCACAGGTTTTCTCAATTAACCCATATTGGCCCTTGGGCCAGCTTAAAATGTTTTTGCCAGTTAAGGGCACTTGCTACTTGGACTTGCTACTTAAAAGGTAATAAATGAACAACTGGTTGAGCTTCATTTTTTTGTCATTATTCCTTCTAAAGCAGAAAGAAGAAACTCCACAACCCTTCTCAGAAAAGTCTATTTTAGCCTGGGTGTTTGTTTCCAGAATTTCAACAAAAGTTGTACCTTCTAAGGGGTAAACCCTATAGCAAATGGCAGTTGATTCCCCAGTCTGGAAGTGTGGGGGAGTCATGGCTTTTATTAAGGCTGTGAGATTTAAGAGAACCACAGTGATATGCACCCACCTCATTCTAATTTTGAACACTGATAATGAACTCCACCATTAGGAGAACTAAACTACTTTCAAAATTCATTGAGTCCACATTTCTTGCTAGGTGAAAATGGCAGGACATGCCTCAGAGCTGACAAGAATCACCCTTTTATTCAGAGCAGGCAGAAAGAAAAATATAATGAAATGGCATATTTGGAGCTTGGTATGAACCCCACTCACACTGAGTTTTAGCCAATGAAATACTGTGAATTATCAACGTTCATAACATATTTAACACCCCATTAGGCAAATAAATCTCTTTAAACCCAATTATATCAAAGGATGTAGAGAAATTATATGACTCAGAATCTTAAAAGCTGAGGAAAACAGGCTCAGTCAGAAGTCAGTCTCACCCGGACCATTTGCAGGGAGAAATATTGGTCTCCTCTCCAGAGTCTATTTCAGGTAACCCCCCTGCCCCTGTGATGTGTGCTTGGTCAGTGTCCCTGCTGCTGGTACTCCTGAAGAATGAGTGAAATGAGAGTAGATAGACCTGGAACCAGTGAAAAAGGAGGCGTGCTAACTCTTCAAGTCTCAACAGGAAAGAAGGGCCAGAAATCTCAGATGGCCTCAGCAGAATGGAGTTTTAATCTTGTTGCAAAGGAAGGAAAGGAGACTTAAGCCCCTAGCTTGTTCCGTGCATCCCATAGGTGGCTTCCTACATTATCACATTTGATTCTATTCTCCTAACTACCCTATGACATAATCTATTAACTTCATTTTATAGATAAGTAAGCCATGGCTCTGAGAGGTTGAATAAATAGCTGAAGCTGTTAAGTAACAATATTGTAACCAGAAATTATTCCAGAGTTCATTCTCTTTTCATGACACTGTATGTATGACTTCCACACAGAAATTAATAAACTGTGTAGCCTTGGTAAAATTCCTTCATTTATCTGGCTCTCTATAAAAACGAAGGAGTTGGAATAATATCCTGGCAGCTCTTAAATGTCTGTGGCTCTAGAGGGGAGTTATTTTTCTATTTGGCACATCATGGGCCAACCCTGTCAAGAACTGTGAAGCATCTGAGATTTTACCCTGCTTGAAAGCCAACAAGTGAGTCTACCACAGTTTCCTAGATATTGGCGGAAAACATGAGACTCCTGGGTAAGAGATAAAGAACTTTTATTGCTCACTGCACAGCAGGCAGCACAAGCTTCACGTTTGCATCAGTTCTCCTTGCTCCCCAAGTTTCAAGGAGCTGATTTGAATGGAACCAACTGAGTGCTGCACAGAGTAGGTTTGCATCACTGCTGAGGAACCCTTACCTTGGGAAACCACAGTCTTATGAGGGACTGCTAGCAAACATCCCCTTATTTTGCTGATAAGGAAACAGACCTGCCCTTTGTCTTAGGGAGACACCACCACTGTCTTCAAGAAATTCTTGAAACAATAGTGTGGAACAAAACAGATACTAGCTATATAGAAACATGGAGATCCATCTCTCAAAAATCTGTGTACTCAAAAAAAAAATCTGTGTACTGTATATGGTGAAATGCTGTGGCCAGCACCTTCTTTGGTCCAGTTCAATACCAGTTGAGCAAAACTAAGAGCTTGCTCTGTGCCAAGCAGTGAATTGAACATTGTTGGTAAAAGTAAATAAATAACACACCCTACAATGGGAGAGATAAGTGAGCAAGGACAAAATTGTCCTACTTATAAGAAGGACTGGGATTGTGTAGCACAGGTTAATAAATGAGCAGAGAAGAGGTATATTTAATATAGTCAATGAGGTAAAAAAAAAAACTGACAGTTGAGCTGTCTTTAGAATTTGTAAGAATTTGGGGATGTGGGGAGATGGATTTCTAGGCAGAGGCAATAGCTTGAGTATACGGTGCTGAAGGATGTTCATGTAAACCTAAGAGGTTTTGCTAAAATGTCAAGTACAAGACAGAGAACGAGGATGGATGCTGTTGGCTAAGTCAGAAGGGAATCTGACAATGAAGACTCTTGCACAAAAGAATGCTTAGATTTTTTATCCTGAAGAGAAAAGGAGCCCATGGGGGATTTTAGGCAGCTGAAAGTTCCTCTGGATGCTGTAGAATGAATGGATTGCAGAGGATGATACTGAAGACAAGATCAGCCAGGAGGCTGTTGATTTTCTCCAAGAAAGAAATGAACTAGATGGTAGCAATTGGGACCAAAAAAATAATAATAATAAATAAAAAACGACAAATGACCCAGTGTCCTAGACCTTTGGTAAATGTGCTCTGTTTAGGGAGATGGAACCAGTGACTTATTAGGAAACAATGGTGGAATGACAGTTATCAGTAGAATTTGGAAAATGTTTATATTACTTTTAAATATCTACTGGTGGTTAAGCATAGAGGATACAGATTCTGGGTTTGGAAAGACTTCAATCAAAACTCTGCTACTTAATTGCTCTGTGAATGTGAAACAGTTACCTTCTCCAACCCACAATTCTCTTATATGTAAAATGGGGAAAATAGCAACACCTATCATATAAAGCTGTTGTGAAGATTAAATGAAGGGGAAAAAAAGAGAAAAACATGTAAATACTTGGCATAGTATCTGACACATAGTAAATACTTAAAAGTCATTAGATGTTATTATTGTGAGCCAGAAAACTCCCATTAATGCTACACCCTGAAATCCAAACAGCAGCAGGAGGGCATTTATATGTACACCACCCATGACTAGTAGTATTGCTTAGTAAATTCATCAAGTAAGCTGTTACTGGCACCAACGACCATTTTTAAATTTTATTTATTTATTTATTTTCTTTCCAACTTTTATTTTAGATTCAGGGAGTACATGTGCAGGTTTGTTACATGGTAAATTCCATGTCCTTGGAGTTTGGTGTACAGATTATTTTGTCACTCAGGTAGCAGACATAGTACCCCATAGGTAGTTTTTGGATCCTCACCCTCCTCCCACCCTCCACCTTCAAGTAGACCCCAGTGTTTATTGTACTTCTTTCTGTCTGGGTGTACTCAATATTTAGCTCTCACTTATGAGAACATAGAGTATTTGGCTTTCTGTTCCTGCATCAATTTACTTAGGATAAATACCTCTAGCCCCATCTATGATGTTGCAAAGGATGTGATCATATTCTTTTATTCTTTTTTATGGCTGCATAATATTCCATGATGTATATGTACTATATTTTCTTTATCCAACCTACCATTAATGAGCACCTAGGTTTATTCCATGTCTTTGTTACTGTGAATAGTGCTGCGATGAACATATGAGTGCATGCCTCTTTGCAGTGAATTATTTGTTTTTCTTTGTGTATATACCCAATAACAGAATTGCTGGGTGGAATGATCATTCTGTTTTAAATTCTTTGAGAAATCTCCAAATTGCTTTCCGCAGTGGCTTAACTAATTTACATTTCCACCAGCAGTGTATAAGCATTCCCTTTTGTCTACAACCTTGCCAGCATCTGTTATTTTTTGATTTTTTAATAATTGCCATTCTGACTGGTATGAGATGGTATCTCATTGTGGTTTTGATTTGCACTTCTCTAATGATTAGTGATGATGAGCATTTTTTCATATGGTTGTTGGTTACATGCATGCAGGACCATTTTTTAGTGCATTCACATGCTATCCTATTCAATCACTAAAGCAGATCCCCCGAAGACACTGACTACACTAGTTCCAGCTACTTCGTGTTAAAAGTAACAAAACTTTATTTGTATAAAAATAGAAAAACATTTCTATTTTCAGGAATTATAACCAGCCTTTTCCCCAATTAGTGTGAATTAGAAAAGCATAAAGACTTACTGAAGTTCAAGTTTTCTTCAAAAGAATAGAACAAATTGTTCTATTGACTTAAAAGAATTATAGTATTTTCTAAGTGCCATTTCACCCACAATATTATTTTATTCTATGTTTTCCTGGGAGGCAATGAATGCATGCTACTGAAAATCAGCTTCTTTAACCAAACAAATTAGAGTCAAGTTTTTACTCTATGTGACTCTGACAAAGTTAATAACTTCTATGAACTTGAGGTTCTTCATACATTTCTTATATCAACTTTACAAGGTTGAAGATTACATGAAGCCAAATGAGTGGGACAGAGTAAACACCAATTCAGAACTAATTTTTATTCCATTCCTATACAATCACGTAGGAAAAGACTAGCAAAAGTTCCATGGCCTTAATGGATTTAGTGCAAAGTGTCCTTATTTTTTTTTAACCCATCATGATCTCTCTGGCCTCACTTTTTCCTGGGCTATTTGGCTAATTCTGCTGGTGCTTCCAAGTTCAAACTCCTGAAACAGAAAATCAGGTTTATGCAGCTCATGTTTGTGAATGAGGTCACTGCACAAAGATTCACCTCCAGACCATGGACTCACTGGTCTTGGGTCAAATAACTACCCTGGCTCACATATTCACTTCAGTGTTATTTGAGTGGGAAGGGAGGAAGTGTCAAGTGGTAAGAAGCATGGACACCCAGCACAAGGTTTCAATGGAGTCTGTGGGCAGAAGTGTTGTCACAAGGGATTTCGGGTAGGCACAATGATTGGAGTCGCTGATAAAGTGTGGCACACAGAAGGCCCGCATGGAATGTTTACTAATAAACGAAGTTCTACTTCCTGATTTACTGTGGAATCATTTATGTCCCAAGCATTTCTTCCAAATGTAGTTGTAGATATTTAGCTTCTCTGCACAAGATGGGACCATGGCAAGTGTCTCCTACTCTGCCTTGTAAGAGTCACAGATCTCACTATGCATCTGGCATTCAATGTCATCCTCTCTTTTGGCAGGTACCTTTCTGAGTAGGTATGGCCTCTCATGGTCTTGACAGTGGAAAGGGGATTGTGAAGGAATGTAAAGAATTTATATTCACAAGCAATTAACTCAGAAAGTTTTTCTTTTCCTTTGACCTAGACTTTACCATGGGGCTCAATCGTGGTCAAGGCAGGAGTCTTCATGCACCCTAGCTCCTGTTTAGTAAGTAGGGGGATAATAACAGGCTGATGTCCTCAGTGTTTCTTCACTGTCTTCTACTTTGTCTTCCTTTAAATCTCTGTCAGAATTGCTATTTTTTTTGCATATGGTCTCCTATTTGTCCTGGTTTGCCCAGGAAATATCTCAGTCCTGAGCACACTGGGATCATTTTTACCCTACCTATCTCCCGTCTCACACTTCCTGGAGTCACAGCCCACTTCATTCCACACCTGCTGCTCTTGTTTATCCATCTACCAGTTGATAGACATGTGGGTTGTTTTCACTTTTGACTATTATGAATAATGCTGCTATAAATATTTGTGTACAAGTGTTTGTTTGTACATAATATTTCAGTTCTCTTGAGCATACAGCTAGGAGTGAAATTGCTTGGTCATATGGTAATTCGATGTTTAAAATTTTGAGAAACTGCCAAACTGTTTTCCACTGAAGGTGCAAAATTTTGTATCCCTACCGGCAATATATGAGGATTTTAATTTTTACAAATCTATGTCAACCCATTATTTTCTGTTTAATATTATTATTGTTATTCTTAAAGCCTTTCTTGTATGTGTAAAGTGGTGTCTTCTTGTGGTTTTTGTTTGCATTTCCCTAATGACTAACAATGTTGAACATCTTTTCAAGTGCTTATTCACAATTTGTATGTTTTTCTTTACAGAAACTTCTATTCAGGTCCCTTGCTCATTTTTAATTGGGTAATTTGTCTTCTTATTACTGCATAATAGTAAGAGTTCCTTATGGATTCTAGGTACAAGCCCTTTTGCAACTACTATTTTCTATTCTGTGAGTGATCTTTCACTTTATTCATAGTGTTCTTTTACGAATAAAACTTTTTAATTTTTATGGAGTTCAATTATCTATGCTTTCTTTTTCACATATGCTTTTGTTGTTGTATCTAAGAAGATTTTGCCTAACCCAAGTTCATAAACATTTACTTCTATATTTTCTACTAGGTATTTATAGTTTTATTTCTTGTATTGAGGTCTACAATCTTTTTGGAGAGGGAGAGAGAATGTCCATACAATATAAGACAGGAGCCCAAATTCATTTTTATATGTGAATATACATTTATCCAAGTACAATTTGTTGAAGAGACTATTGTTTCCCTACTGAATTATCTTGGCATATTTATCAAAAATCAATTGACTATAGTTAAGTATTTATTTCTGAATCCTCAATTCTATCCTATTGATCAATGTCTCTTTTCTTATGCCATTAACACATTGCTTGATTACTGTAGCTTTCAAGCAAGTCTGAAAATTAGGAAGTGTAAGTCCTACAACTTCTTTTTCAAGACTGTATTGCTTATTTTGGTTTGTTTGCTTCTCTGTATTAATTTCAAAGCAAGCTTGTTGATTTCACCAAAGAAAAAGACATTCAGAGTTTTGATAGAGATTGCATTGAATCTAAAGATTAATGTATTAGTCTGTTCTCACACTGCTATAAAGATACTGCCCAAAACTGGGTAATTTATAAAGAAAAGAGGTTTAACTCTTTTTTGACTCACAGTTCCACATGGTTGGGGAGTCCTTAGGCAATGTACAATCATGGTGGAAGGTGAAGGAGAAGCAAGGACCTTCCTCACATGGCAGCAGGAGAAGGAAGTGCAAGCAGGGAAAATGCCAGATGCTTATAAAACCATCAGATCTTGTGAGAACTCACTCATTATCAAGAGAACAGCATGGGGGAAACCTCCCCCATGATGCAATCACCTCCTAACAGGTCTCTCCCTAAACACTTAAGGGTTACAATTCAGGATGAGATTTAGGAGGGGACACAAAGCCTAACCATATCAATCAATTCGGGCATATTGCCTTCTTAAAAACATTATGTCTGAAATCCATGACCATGGTGTCTTTACATTTATTCTGGCATTTTAAAATTGCTTTTAACATTGGTTTATAGTTTTCAGTGTACAAAGCTTGCACTTCTTTTGTTAAGTTTGTTCCTAAGTGTTTTATTACATCTGATGATGATTTTACATTGTAAAGGAAATTGCTTTCTTAATTTCATCTTTTAAGAGACTTGATTTCTTAAAGCAGTTTTAGGTTTACAGCAAAATTGAGTCACGCCTGTAATCCCAGCACTTTGGGAGGCCGAGGCGGGCGGATCACGAGGTCAGGAGATCGAGACCATCCTGGCTAACACGGTGAAACCCCGTCTCTACTAAAAATACAAAAAATTAGCCGGGCGAGGTGGCGGGCGCCTGTAGTCCCAGCTACTCGGGAGGCTGAGGCAGGAGAATGGCGTGAACCCCAGGGGGCGGAGCCTGCAGTAAGCCGAGATTGCGCCACTGCACTCCAGCCTGGGCGACAGCGAGACTCCGTCTCAAAAAAAAAAAAAAAAATTGAGAGGAAGGTGCAGAAATTTCCCATATACTTCCATTCCCACATATACATAGCCTTCTCCATCATCCACATTCCCTACCAGAATGGTACATTTGTTGCAAACAATGAACCCACGCTGACACATCATAATAACCCAAAGCCCATACTTTACATTAGGATTCATTCTTGGTGTTATACATTCTGTAGGTTTGGACAAATGTGTAATTATATGTATCCGTCGTTATCATATCACACAGAGTATTTTCACTGGCCTAAAAATCCTCTGTGCTCAACCTATTCATGCCTCCTGCAACACTTGACAACTCTGGATCTTTTTACTATATCCATAGTTTTGCCTTTTCCAGAATGTCATCTATTTGGAATCATATAGTATGTACCCTTTTGACATTGGCCTTTTCACTTAATAATACAAATGTATTTTAGGCTCTCTCATGTATTTTCATGGCTTGAGAGCTCATTTTCTTTCGCACTGAACAATATCCCATTGTCTTGATGTACCGCACTTTATTTATTTATTCACCTACTGAAGGAAATCTTGGTTGCTTCAAAGCTTTTCCAATTATCAATTAAGTTGCTGTAAACACCTGTGTGTAGATTTTTGTGTGAACATAAGCTTTCAACTCCTTTAGGTAAATACCAAGAAGAGGGATTGCTGGATTTTATGGTAAGGGCATAATTAGTTTTATAAGAAAACTGCCCAACTGTCCTCCAAAGTGGTTGTAGCATTTTCCATTCTCACCAGCAATCAGTGAGAGCTCCTGTTGCTCCACATCCTTGCTGAAGTTTGGTGTAGCCAGTGCTCTGGATTTTGGCCAATCTAAAATGTGTGTAGTGATATCTCATTGTTGTTTTAATTTGCATTTCCCTGATGACATACAAGCTGAAGCATCTTTTCATATGCTTATTCGTCACCTATGTATCTTCTTTGGTGAGGTGTCTGTTAAGGTCTTTGACCCATTTTTTATTGACACATAATAATTGTATAAACATATGAGGTTATGTGATATTTGATAAATGCATATTATGTGTAATAATTAAATCAGAGTATTTGTAATATCCATCGCCTCATTTATCAGACCCATGTTTTAATCAAGTTGTTTGTTTCTTATTGTTGACTTCTAAGAGTTCATTGCATATTCTGAATGACAGTTCTTTAACAGATGTGTCTTTCACAAGTATTTTCTCAGTCTGTGGCTTCTCTTCTCATTCTATTGACATTGTCTGCCAGATAGGAGCAGCTTTTCATTTTAATTAAGTTCAGCATCTGTTATTTATTTCATAGATTATACCTTTGGTCTTGTATCTAAAAAGGTATCACCATAACCAAGGTCATCTATATTTTCCCCTACGTTACTTCTAAGAATTTTATAGTTTTGATTGATACTATGATCAATACTGTGATCAATACTATGATCAATTTTGAGGTAATTTTTGGGAAGGGTATAAGGTCTGTGTCTAGATTTATTTTATATTTTTCATATGGAGGTACAATTGTTTCAACATCATTTGTTGAAAAGACTGTCTTTGGTCCATTGCATTACCTTCAGTTCTTTGTCAAAGATCAATTGACTATATTGATGTGAGTCTATTTTTGGGCTTCTGTTCTGTTCCATTGATCTATTTGTCTCTTATTTTACCAATATCATGCTATCATGATTACTGTAGCTTCACAGTATGTTTTGAAGTTAGGTAGTGTCAGTCCTACAATTTTGTTCTCCTCCTTTGATATTATGCTAGCTATTCTGGGGCTTTTTTCTCTCCATATAAATTTTGACATTACTTTGTCAATATCCACAAAGTAACTTGCCAAGATTTTGATAAGAATTATGTGGAATTTATAGATCAAATTGGAAAAAAAAAACTAACATCTTCACAATATTGAATTTTCCTGTGAATCAACATATTTATCTCCATGTATTTAGTTCTTTTTAATTTATTTAATTACAGTTTTGTAGTTTTCCACAGAGAGATCTAGTACATGGTTTGTTAAACTTATATCTAAGTATTTCAATTTTGGACACTAATGTAAATGGTATTGTGTTTTAACTTCAAATTCCACTTGTTCATTGCTGGTATATAGATAAGCAATTGATTTTTGTATGTGGTATTCTACAGTCTTGTATCCTGCATCCTTGCTATAATCATTTATTAGTTCAAGGTTTTCTGTTTATTCTTTCAGATTTTCTATGCAAATGATGTTGTCATCTGTGAACAAAGAGTTTTGTTTCTTCCTTTTCAACTTGTATACCCTTTATTTCTTTTTCTTGTCTTATTGTATTAGCTAGGAATTCTATTAAGGTGTTGAAAAGTCATGGTGAGAGGAAATATCCTTGTCTTATTTTTAATTTTAGTGGGGAAGCTTCTAGTTTTCTCATCATTATGTATGGTGTTAGCTATAGGTTTTTTGCAGATATTCTTTATCAAGTTAAGGAAGTTTCACTCCACTAGTTTACTGAGGCTTTTGTCAAATTTTATCATGAATGGGTATTAGATTTTCAAATGCTCTTTCTGTATTTATTGATAATATTATGTTATATTTCCTCTTTAGCCTATTAATGTGATGGATGACATTAACTGATTTTCAAATGTTAAACCAGCATTACATACCTGAACTAAATCCCTCTTGGTTGGTGTGTATAATTCTTTTTATACATTGTTGAATTCAATTTGCTAATGTTTTGTTGAGAATTTCTGCATCGATGTTCATGAGATATATTGGTCTGTAGCTTTTTTTCTTGTAAGGTCTTTGTTGAGTTTCAGTATTACAGTAATTCTAGATTCAGAGAATGAGTTGCTATTTCATCTGCTTCAATCTGCTGAAAAATACTGTAGAGAATTCATATAATTTCTTACTTAAATGTTTGGTAGAATTCACCAATGAACCTATATGAGCCTGGTATCTTCTGTTTTGGAAAGTTATTGATTCCATTTATTTAATAAATATAGGCATATTCAGATTGTCTATTTATGTATTGCATTGCATGAACATACCACATTTTTTTTACCTATCTATCAATTGATAGATTTGTAATTTAGGTTGATTCCACTTTTCGGCTATTAGGAATAACGTTGCTATGAAAATTCATGTACAAGCTTTTTTTGTGAACATGTTTTCATTTCTCTTAGGTATATACCAGTTATCTTAGAATTGCTACGTTACATGGCAACTCTTTGTTTAATCATTTGCGGGACTTCCAGGCTGTTTTCCATGTACAATATTTATATTCCTATCAGCAGTGTGTGAGAGCTTCAGTTTCACCACGTACTTATCAACACTTGGGTGTCATCAGTATTTTTTCCACTTTTATTTAGGTTCAGGGATACATGTGCAGGTTTGCTAGAGAGGTGAATTGCATGTCCTGGGGTTTGGTGTACAAATTATTTCATCACCCAGGTTATCAGCATAGTACCCTATAGTCAGTTCTTTTTATTCTTACCCTTCTGCAACTCTCCACCCTCAAGAAGGCCTGGTGTCTGTTGTTCCCTTCTTGATGTTCTTGTGTACTCACTGTTTAGCATCCCCTTGTGAGTGAGAATATGTGGTATTTGGTTCTCTGTTCCTGTGTTAGTTTGCTTAGGATAATGGCCTCCAGCTCCATCCACGTTGCCACAGAGGACGTGATCTCATTCTTTTTATGACTGCATAATATTCCATGGTGTATATATGCCACATTTTCTTTGTCCAATCTACGTTGACAGGCATATAGATTGATTGCGTGTCTTTGCCATTGTGAATAGTGCTGTAATGAACATATGTGTGCATGTAGTTTCGTAATAGATTTATCTTCCTTTGGGTATTTACCCAAGCATGGGATTGCTGGGTTGAATGGTAACTCTGTTTTAAGTTCTTTGAGAAGTCACCAAACTGCTTTCCTCAATAGCTGAACTAATTTACGTTTCCACCAATAGTGTTTGAATGGTCCCTGTTCTCCGCAACCTTGCCAGGATCTGTTATTTTTTCTTTCTTTCTTTCTTTTTTATTATACTTTAAGTTTCAGGGTACATGTGCACAACGTGCAGGTTACATATGTATACATGTGCCATGTTGGTGTGCTGCACCCATTAACTCGTCATTTAACATTAGGTATATCACCTAATGCTATCCCTCCCCCCCGCCCCCACCCCACAACAGGCCCCGGTGTGTGATGTTCCCCTTCCTGTGAGCCATCTTAACTGGAGTGAGATGATATCTCATGGTTGAGATTTGCATTTCTCTAATGATTAGTGGTGTTGAGCATTCTTTACAGACTTATTGGCCTTGTGTATGTATTCTTTTGAAAAGTATCTGTTTATGTCTTCTGCCCAGTTTATAATAGGCTTCTTTGTGTTTTGCTTGTAAATTTGTTTAAGTTTATTATAGGTTCTGGATATCAGACCTTTGCCAATGGCACAGTTTGCAAATATTTTCTCCCATTCTGTCGGTTGTCTGTTTACTCTGTTGATAGTTTCTTTTGCTATGCAGAAGCTCTTCAGTTAAGTCCTGTGTGTCAATTTTTGGTTTTGTTGCAATTGCTTTTGGTGTCTTCATCATGAAACCTTTGCCAGGTCCTTGGTACATAATGGTATTTTGCAGGTTATCTTCCAGAGTGTTCATAGTTTTAGGTTTTACATTTAAGTCTTTAATTCATCTTGAGTTTATTTTTGTGTAGGGTGTAAGGAAGGAGTCCAGTTTCAATGTTCTGCAGATGGCTAGCCAGTTATCCCAGAGCCATTTATTAAAAGAAATTTCTTTCCCCAGTGCTTGTTTTTGTCAATTTTGACAGTTATTAGATGGTTATATGCGTGTGGCATTATTTCTGGGCTCTCTATTCTGTTCCATTGGTCTATATGTCTGTTTTTGTGACAGTGCCATGCTGTTTTAGTTACTGTAAACTGGTAGCATAGTCTGGAGTTGAGTAATATGATGCTACGAGCTCTGTTCTTTTTGCTTAGGATTCCCTTGGCTATCTTTTTAAGTTCTCTATGAATTTTAAAATAGTTTTTTTCTAGTTCTGTGGAGAATGTCATTGACAGTTTGATAGAAATAGCATTTAATTTGTAAGTTGCTTTGGACAGCATGGCTATTTTAATATTGATTCTTCCTATCCATGAGCATGGAATGTTTTTCCATTTGTTTCCATCTCTGATTTCTTTGCCTACCCTGTTTGCAGAAAACATAATTTGTACCTAGGAAACCCCATACTTTCTGCACAAAAGCTCCTTGATCCAATAAACAAAACAAATACAGCAGAGTTTCTAGATACAAAATTGATGTACAAAAATCAGTAGCATTCCTATACAACAACAACATCCAAGCTGAAAGCCAAATCAATAATGCAGTTTCATTCACAATAGGCACAAAAAGAATAATATACCCAGGAAAACAGCTAACCAGGGACGTGAAAAATCTCTTCAGTTTTTTTCAATTCAAGAGTTGAGTCCATCTCAGGAAAAGATGTTCTTTGCTTATTCATTAAAAGCAACTCCTCATCCATTAAAGTTATATCCTGAGATTGCAGCAATTTAGTCTTATCTTTGGGCTCCACTTCTAATTCTAGTTCTCTTGCTATTTTTACCACATCTGAAGTTACTTCCTCCACTGAGACTTGAACTACTCTTAGTCACCCATGAGTTTTGGAATCAAATTCTTTTGAGGACCTGTTAAGATTGATATTTTTACGTCCTCTCATGTATTAAAAATGTTCTTAGTGGCATTTCGAATGCTGAACCCTGTCAAAAAAGTTTTCAATTTACTTTACTCATATCTATCTGAAGAATCACTATCTATTGCAGCTATAGCCTTACAAAATGTATTTCTTAAACAATAAGACTTGGAATTTGAAATGACTCTTTGATTCATGAGCTACAAAATAAATGTTGTGTCAGCAGGCATAAAAATAAAATAAAACAAAAACATTAATCTCCTTGAACATCATTATCAGAGCTCTTGGGTGACCAGATACATTGTCAAATGGTAATATTTTGAAAGGAATGCTTTCTTTCCAGGCAATAGATGTCAATACTAGGCTTAAAATATTCAGTAAACTATGCTTCCAACAGATGTGCTGTCCTCCAGGTTTGGTTGTTCCATTTATATGTCACAGGCAGAGTAGAATTAACATTATTTTTAAGGGCTCTAGGATTTTTAGTATGGTGAATGAGCACTGGCTTCAATTTAATGTCGCCAACTACATTAACTCCTAACGAGAAAGTTAGCCTGTACTTTGAAGCTTTGAAGCCACGCATTGACTTCTCTCTAGCTAATGAAAGTCCTAGATGATGTCTTCTAATTGAAGGTTCTTTGATCGACAATGAGAATCTGTTTAGTATAGGTACCTTCATCAATTATATTACCTAGCTTTTCTGCATAACTTGCTTCAGCTTCTATATTAGCACTTGCACTTCATCCTGCACTTTTATGTCATGGAAATAGCTTTTTTCCTTAAACTTCATGGCCCAACCTCTGCTAGCTTCAGTAATTTTTCTGCATCTTCCTTACTTCTTAGCCTCATAGAATAAAAGATAGTTAGGGCCTTGATCTGGATTAGGCTTTAGCTTAAGGAAATGTTGTGACTAGTTTGATCTTTTATCCAGACCACTAAAACTTTCTCTTTATCAACAATAAGGTTGTTTCGCTTTATTTTTATTCCCGTGCTCACTGGAGTGTCACTTTTAATTTCCTTCGAGAACATTTTGTTTGCATTCACAGCTTGGCTATTTGTTGCAAAAGGCCTATCTCAGCTTTCGACATGCCTTCCTAACTAAGTGTAATCATTTCTAGCTTTGGTTTTAAAATGATAGACATGAAAGTCTTCCTTTCATTTGAACACCTAGAGGTCATTTTAGTGCTATTGGTTGGCCTAACTTCAATATTCTTGTGTCTTAGGGAATGGGAAGGTCTGTAGAGAGGGAGAGAGTTGTAGAACAGCTGGTAGATGAAGCAGTCAGAACACACATAACATTTATCAATTAAGTTTGCTATATTATGAGGCATGGTACATGATAGCCTAAAACAATTACAATAGTAACAGCAGAGATCACTGATTGCAGATCACCATAAGTAATATAATCCAAAAAAAAATTTTTAATGTTGTGAGAATTACCAAAATATGATACGGAGACATGAAGTGAGCACATGCTCTTGGAATAATGGTACCAATCAACTTGCTTGACGCAGAGTTGCTACAAACCTTGAATCTGTAAAAATTATAATATCTGTAAAGCACAATAAAGTGAAGCACAATAAAATAAGGCAGGGCTGCACTCATATTTGTGTTTTTCTTTCTTCTCATTAATTTCTCATTTCAATCTACTAGGGTAAAAAACATGCTTTTCGATTTTTAAATATTTATTCAAGTTCTTTTTCTGTGGATTAGCATATAGTCTATCCTAAAGAATGTTCCATGTTCCAAAAAAAATGTGTATACTATTGTTGTTAGGTGGAGTGTTCTATAGAGATCTGTAAGATCTGGTGGTGAAGTCACATTCTCCTGCTGGTCTCTTGTCTTGTTGCTGTATACATTAGTGAAAGTGGGGTAATGAAACCTTCAAATATTATTATTAAATTTTCTATTTTTACCTTTCATTCTGTCAGTTTTCATCTCATGTATTTTGGAGTTCACTTGTTAAATACATATATACTTAGAATTTGTTTATCTTCTTGATGGATTGACACTTTTGTCATTATAAAATGTTCTTCTTGTCTCTAGTAACAATCTTATCCTAAAGCCTGTTTTTTCTCTGGTATTAGTATAACCACTCTAGCTCTTTTTTTCATCACTGCTTTTACCTACTGCTGCATCGTATACCTTTTTCTAACATAATTTCAACCTATTTGTGTATTTGAAATTTAAACTGTGGACTTTTAAGAAAGCATGCACATAGTTGGATCATGTTTTTTCTTTCAATCCATTCTGCCAATCTCTGTCATTTAATTGGAGAATTTAATCCATTTAACACTTAATGTATTACTCATAATTAATACTTAATATACTACTAATATATAATTTAAGGTTTCATATCTGTCATCTTGTTCATTGTTCTCTACATGTATTTTGTCTTATTTTGTTCTTCAGTTCTTGCATTACTGACTCCTTTATGTTAAATATTTTGTAGTATTATATTTTAACTACCTTATTAACTATATATTTTGGATTTGTTAATGGTTTCCCTAGCTATTACAATTAGCATCTTTTCTTACAACTATTGGTTTAAATTAATATCACTTAATTTCAGTTATATATACATACATATATATGTATACAGTGTGTGTGTATATATAAACTTTACTCCTTTATAGCTCTGTTCTCTCCTTTATGCCGTTATTGTCATAAATATATTTACATACAATTTATAAGCATAAACATATTTATAATGATTGCTTTATTCAATTTTCTTTTAAATAGGAGGAAAAGAAAGACTTAAAAACAAAAGTGCATTTGTATTGTGTTTTACATTTACCTTTACCAGTGCTTACTATTTTTTATGATTATTGCTTAGTAATCTATTAAGCCTAAAGTACATCATTTAATAGAGCTGATTTGACTAATACTCTCAGTTTTTCTTTGTTTTAGCTTTCATTTGGAAGGATAGTTTTTCTGACTGTAGAATTATTGGTTAACAGGCTTTTTTTTTTTCTGTTTGCTTATTTTCTGAAGTTGGCTGTTGGTTCTCCATGGTTTCAAATGGCAAGTCAGCTATTAACCTTAGTGAGGATCCCTTATATATGATGATTCATTTCATTCTTGTTGGACTCAAAATTCCCAGTCTTTTGACAATTTGATTAGGATTGTGTTTATCCTATTTGAAGTTTGTTGAAA
Organism: Homo sapiens; assembly: GCF_000001405.40. Taxonomy (NCBI): domain Eukaryota; kingdom Metazoa; phylum Chordata; class Mammalia; order Primates; family Hominidae; genus Homo; species Homo sapiens. Next base: position 17,027,549 of record NC_000002.12, read on the forward strand.
TTCTTAAATGTGTGTATTAACTTTTTTTGCTATCAATTTGTGAATATCTTGACTACTACTTTGTCAATTTTTTTCTCTCTCTCTTCCTGTCTCCTTTCCTGTTGTGATTCCTATGATATGTATGTTTGCATGCTTTATGGTGTCATATAGGTCTTTAACATTCTATTCATTTTTCTTCTTTTTTTCTGTGTCTCTTACTAGATAATTTCAATTGATATTTCATGTGATTCTTCTGCCAGCTGAAATCTACTGTTGAGTCTTTGTAATAATTTGTTTTATTTCATTTATTCGACTTTTCACCTCCAGAATTTCTATTTGGTTATTTTTAAATAATCCATATTTCTGTTGTGTTCTATCTACTGAAACAACATTCTCTACTTTTCTTTGGTTCTTTAAACAGTTTCCTTTAGTTCTTTAATCACATTTAAAATAAGTAATTTAAAGTCTTTATCTCTGTTTAAAGTCTAGAATTCCTTAGGGACAGATTTTAATCACTGCTTTTTCCTGTATATAAGCCATGTTTTCATATTTCCTAGCATGTTTTGTAATTTTTTGTTTAAAAAATACACACTTAAAAAATCAAATTGGGCAACTCTGGGAATTAGGTGCTTCCCCCAACTCCAAGATTTATTGTTTTTGCTGTTTATTGTAGTGACTTTTGTTGTTTAGTGACTACTGTAAACTAGTTCTGTAAGTCTATATGCTCTGTCATGTGTGGTCACTGAAGTCTCTACTTGGTTAGTTTACTGTTCCACTAATGACTAAACAGAGATTTCACCAAATGCCTGCAAACAATAAGCATCTCAGTCTTTGCTAAATGGCTTCTTATGTGTGTTGAGGGCACACCTTCTGCATTCAGTGAGGTGGTTAGCAATTCCTTCTTAGTTTTCTCTTCTTGCTTCTACGAAGCCTCAAAATCATCCAGAATTCAGTTTAGGTCCTCCTGAGGTCTTTTCTGACTATGTGCCCGTGAACTTCTAGATTCCCAGGATATGTGGGAGATTTTTGAAGCCTTATGGATATATTTTACCCTAATTTCTTCTTGTAAGTTTGTAGTTAGTTTATTGTTTGCCCCATTTACCCTTTACTACCTCAGGCAGCCAGCAATTAAAATGGTTCTCTGTAATTTTGGGTTTTTTGACAAATGCCCCTGAGTGAAGTCTTTTCACACTAAGCAAGCTTTGAGTCAGGTTATGTATAGAAAGCTTTGTAAATGGGGGATTCCAGGAGACCATTAGACAGGCCAAATAATGGCAATTCTTTGAAAATAAGGCTTTGAAATAATTCAAACTCCATTCTGTTCCCTTCAATGTATTCCAGGCTGCACTTGGAATGGGGGATCTCATTTCTCAAGGCTCCCATAGAGTTTAAGTGTGGTAATTAGTACTAGAACAAATGACAATGTGACAAAGCCCCCTATTCTTCCTGAAATTCAGATACATTTCTTAAATCATGTTCTTGAGTTGGTACAAGTCGTTGCTTAATTTCTAGAGTTCTGAAAGAAGTTGATTCTAATCCTATTTTGGCTGTATATTTTAAAAATTGCTTTTATGAAGGATTGACTATCTAGAGGTTTCTATTTTATCATTTTTACTAATATCACCTCTTCATTACATTTTCAACTTCTTAAAGGAAGAATTATTTTATTTACCTATGTATTCCTGGTAATAATCATAAAGCTTACTACAAATAGAATGATCAATATATATGAGGAAAAGGAAAAAAAGGCGATTGAGGAAATTTAAAAAGAGGGAGTGAGGAAGGCAAACAGGCAGGTATATTATTGCAGTATTCTCCAGCTAATGGAAATGTATATTTTCTACATTACTATTGAAAAAATAATGGCTTTTTGCATTTCAAAAAAAAATTGAGCATCAGACAGCAGTTGAGAATACATTTTTTGAGAGGGAGAAAATATCATTGGAAATGTCTTCCAAAAAATACTATATAGGGCACCCAGTCATACGAGCAGAAAAATGAAATACCAGGAATGGGTTCTTTTCACTTTATCCTTTATGTCCAAAATGACTGGAACAATGTAGGACCAAGAACTAAATCCTTCATAAAAGCCTACAGTTAATATGCTCAGGGTTGTAGTTTGTTTTTTTCTTTAGTTTTATTTGTTTTTTGCCTCAGTTATTTCCTTGGGGAAAAGTCTCAGAAGCAAATGTGCTGAGTGGAGCTGGATATGGATTTAAATTTATGACTTTTGAAATGAATTGCCAATTTTCAACACCATGCAAAGTGATACATAGTGTTCCAGTTTTGTCATATTCTACCTTATATTAAATATTATAATTTCAGTTCCTTTGCCTCTACCTTATTCACCATAGTACATCTTTAAATACTAAAACTCTTTATTATACCTATTGATTGAACATGCATACAAATAACAGGATATAATTTAAAAGGTGCTAGTAAAGACTAAACTCAAAATGATTATTCTCAAAAACAATTTCAAGTCACAAGTTAAAAATAAGAAAACGAAAAACAATCTCACAGAGGGTGCCTGATTTTTCAATTATCTTCACTAAGGCAGGTCTGTACAAACAGCACACAGCTTCAAACTTAGTTACTGCAGACCTTTTGCTCCCAGTAGGGAATTGACAAAATGTTATCAAGCATTATTCTATATTGCATTGTGGGAGTTACAGCACTTATCTACAATGAAGGAGGCAAAATTGGAGGAAGTAAGTGCCTGATTAGAATTTGAAGATAAACACAACCTGTTCTGTAGCTGTCAGGCAGCTGCTCAGAGCAGCCCCGTTCAACCTGATAATTAGTTTATAACTGAACTGTTGAGATTTATGATAAGCTCTAGCAGGTCCCTCTTCTCTCCATGCTCTTCCAAAGATGGCTGACGACACTTACAAAGTTTGAACCACTGAGATTCCCTCCAATTCTGATATTCTGTAATGCCTAAAAATTTCCACTTGAAAATTAAATGTATGAGCAGGTATCCCCTAAGACAGATAACTAGACTTAACTTATTTTATGATGGTTTCAAAAATTCAATGAATAGAATGTACTCAATTTTTTTATTTTTTATTTTGAGATGAAGTCTCGCTCTGTCACCCAGGCTGGAGTACAGTGGCACAATTTCAGCTCACTGCAACCTCCACCTCCCAGGTTCAAGTGATTCTCCTGCCTCAGCCTCCTGAATAGCTGGGATTAAAGGCACATGCCACCATGCCTGGCTAATTTTGTATTTTTAGTAGAGACAGGACTTCACCATGTTGGCCAGGCTTGTCTCAAACTCCTGACCTTAAGTGATCCACTTGCCTCAGCCTTCCAAGTGCTGGGATTATAGGCATGAGCCACCATGCCCAGTCACCCAAAGTCTTAACTCATTCCAGCATTAACCCAAAAGTCCAAGTTTAAAGTCTCATCTGAGACAAGGCAAATTCCTTCTAAATATGAGCCTATACAATAAAAAACAAGTAGTTACTTCCTAGATACAATGAAGCTACTGGCATTGTGTAAATACATTTATTCCAAATGGGAGAAATTGGCCAAAATGAAGTGGCTAGAGGCCCATGCAAGTCCAAAATCCAGCAGGGTACTCATTAAACCTTAAAGTTCCAAAATGATCTTTTGCTCCATGTCTCACATCCAGGGCATGCTGATGCAAGAGGTAGGATCCCATAGCCCTGGGGAGCCCCACCCCTGTTGCTTTGCCCCTGTAGTACACCTCACTCCTAGGTGCTTTCATGGCCTGGCGTTGAGTGTCTGTGGCTTTTCCAGGTGCACAGTGCAAGCTGTCGGTGGATCCACCATTCTGGGGTCTGGAAGACCATGGCCCTCTTCTCACAGTTTTGTTTCTACTAGGCAGTTCCCCAGTGGGGAGTGTGTGTGGAGGCTACAACCTCACATTTCTCTTTCTCACTGCCCTAGCAGAGGTTCTTCAGGAGGGCTCTACCCCTGCAGCAAACTTCTGTCTGGACACCCAGACATTTTTATACATCCTCTGAAATCTAAGTGGCAGTTCCCAAACCTCAGTTCTTGAATTCTGTGCACCCACAGACTCAACACCACATGGAAGCCACCAAGCCTTAGGGCTTGCACCCTCTGAAGCAATGTCCTGAGCTGTACCTTGGCCCCTTTTAGCCATGGCTGGAGCTGAAGCAGCTTGGATGCAGGTCACCATGTCCTGAGGCTGCACAGAGCAGGAGGGCCCTAGGCCTGGCCCACAAAACCATTTTTCCCTCCCAAGGCCCCAGGCCTGTGATTGGAGAGGATGCTGTGGAGGCCTCTGACCCGCCCTGGAGACATTTTCTCCATTGTCTCAGTGATCAACATTCCACTCCTCACTAGTTATGCAAATTTCTGCAGCAGGCTTAAGTTTCTCCCCAGAAAATGGGTTTTTCTTTTCTACCCCATTGTCAGATTGCAAATTTTCCAAATTTTTATACTCTGCCTTCTCTTGAATGTTTTGCCACTTAGACATTCCTTCCACCAGATACCCTAAATCATCTCTCTCAAGTTCAAAGTTCCACAGATCTCTAGGGCAGGGAAAAAATGCCACCAGTCTCTTTGCTAAAGCATAGCAAGAGTGACCTTTACTCCAGTCCCCAGCAAGTTCCTCATCTCCATCTGAAACCACCTTAGCCCGGACTTTATTGTTCACATCACTTTCAGCATTTTGGTCAAAGCCATTCAACAAGACTCTAGAAATTTCCAAACTTTCCCACATCTTCCTGTCTTCTTCTGAGCCCTCCAAACTGTTCCAATCTTTGCCTGTTATCCAGTTCCAAAGTCACCTCTACATTTTCGGGTATCTTTATAGCAGTGCTCCACTACCTCACACTAATTTACTATATATAGTCCATTCTCACACTGCTATGAAGAAATACCCAAGACTGGGTGATTTATAAAGGAAAGAGGTTTAATTGACTCACAGTTCCACATTGCTGGTGAAGCCTCAGGAAACTTACAATCCTAGTGGAAGGCAAAGGAGAAGCAGGCACCAGGGCAGGAGGATGGAATGAGTGCCAGCTGGGGAAATGCCAGATGCTTATAAAACCATCAGATCTCCTGAGAACTCACTCAAATTGCATAGTGGTCAAGTCAGGTCTTCTAGGGTATCCATCAGCCAAATAACAGACATTGTAACCTTTTGTTTATTATTCTCCAAGCTCTCTGGCTTCCTTTCTTCCCATTGAACGCTTCAAACTCATTCTCCTCTCAGGGCCTGTATATTTGGTATTCTAAGTGGAATTTTCTTTCCAAGCCCTTTGTGTGCTCCCTTCTCCTTCTCCAATAATTTCTCCTCAGAGAGGACTTGCTCAATGGTAGCTGAAGCAGCCATGCCCAACCCTTTCATCTCAGCCACTGTCAATCACGCTTGCCTCTTTTGTGTTTCTTTTCTCTTTCTCCACTTCTGAGGAGAACAAACATGAGCTCATAATTATATTTGTGTTGCCTAAACCACACCTTGATAAGTAAAAAAGACTTCAATATTAGATTTGTTGACTGACTCACTTCCACCTAACCTATCTCAAGTTTTTTCACCTGAAAATGGGCCTCATTACTCTTATCACATAACGTTGTTGCACAGTAAGCAAGATGGCCAAATGTGAATTATTGATGTTTACTTAATGTGAACTTGATGTCTCAAGTTCCACACCTTCCTGTCTCGTCTCAATCCATTCCAATCACATATCCATCTTTTCCACTAAAAACGCTCTTGGAAAACTCACCAGTGTTCCCCATGAGGGGATCCAACGGCCCTTTCCCTTTCTGTATTTTATCTAACACCCTGCCAGCATTTGACAAATTTAAATGCTCCTTTTTTTCTTGAAACATTTTATTCGACTGAAGCCATTGACTGCATAGTCTCCCTTTTGTTTTCTCCTATTTCACAGAAAGCTTCCTCTGAATTTATTTTGCTGTCTCTAGTCAGCTTCTGTAGTCAATGTTGAAGAGTCTTAACATTGAGGAATGTGTCCTGGGCACTGTTCTCTTTCTAGATACTCTCTTGAAATGATCTCATCCAACCTCAGGCTTTCAAATGCCATCTACATGCTGTTAACTTTCAAAATTGACTTGCCTAACTAATGGCTTACCTGATGTTTTTCAGTTGGAGATTCTTTTTTTTTTTTTTTTTTTTGAGACAGAGTCTCACTGTGTCATCCAGGCTGGAAAGCAGTAGCATAATCTTGGCTCACTGCAACCCCCACCTCCCAGGATCAAGCAATTCTCCTGCTTCAGCCACCCGAGGAGCTGGGATTACAGATGTGTGCCACACACTCAGCTAATTTTTGTATTTTTAGTAGAGATGGGGTTTCACCATGTTGGCCAGGCTGGTCTCGAACTCCTGACCTCAAACAATCTGCCTGCCTCAGCCTCCCAAAGTGCTGGAATCACAGGCATGAGTCATCATGCCTGGCCTTCAGCTGAATTTCTAGCAGGCATGTAAAACCTAATATGCCTAAAAGTAACTTTGATTAGATTCCCCCAAGCTCTCCTTTCCATATTCCCTTTCATCACAATAAATGATGCCACTTCTACCTATTACTGAATCTTTTCCCCTCGGTCAACATATTTAATCCATCTCAATCATATCCTGGGTCTGTCTATTTCTTCCTGTTTCAGCTCTCACCTGAATACCTTCAAGATAACTCATCTCTTTTCTGTCTCTTTTGCCCTCTGCAATCTCTCCCCTAAAAAATTAGTGATTTTTTAAAATGTAAGTAATATTATATCACTCATCTGCTGAAAATACTTTGTCTTATTCTTATTGTTAAAGTAAAATCCACACTCTATCATAGCTGACACATTCCCTATCATCTGACAGCAACCAGATTTTCTCCCTCTCATTCTCGCCTCTCTCCCTGCTCTAGCTATGCTAGGCTTCATCATGGTCCTCTAACTTCCCAAGATGACTTTCTCCTAAGGAACTGCTGTCTTTTTGTGTGGACAATTATTACCTTTGTACTATTGCTCCTCTGTTATTCAAGTCTCAGCATAAATGTTATCTTCAGGAAAACCTTTCCTGACCATCAGACCCATCAGCTTATGTTGCCAATCTCCCAGGCAGTATGTTTTTTCATATCACACAGTTTTATTTTCTTCATAGTAATTTCATAGTGCTTATCACTTCTTGACATTATATTTTGTATTTACTTGCTGATTTTTTTAAAATCATCCATCAGAATTTAAGCTCCCTAGGGAATCTTCATGGTCTTTTTGTATCTTTAGTAGCCGGGGCAATGCCCGAATAGTAAGAGATCAATAAATATGGTGTGAATTAATGTATATTGCACAGTAAGGACAAAATTAATTAAACTAAATTCCTAGCTTCTTTCCTGAATTCTGAACTGAATTTTCAAATTCTAACTGTATTTATTTCCTTGGATGACCCCCTAGGGTCTTTAATCTTCTCAACTCAAAACAACAGACTTCCAATCATAGTACTCTACTCCTGACTTAAAACTTGATCTCCTTTTTTCCTTTTTCTTTATACCTATAAATACCATCTAGTCTGCTCTCTCAAGAAAAAAAACCTGGGAGTCATCTATCTCATGTTACCCACATTTATTTAGCCACATGTGCTCTGAAACTAGTCACCCTGGCCATGGTCTCCTTATTTCTAATCTATCCCCACTCCAGTTTCCCAAGAAATCTGTAACACAAGCGAAACATGTCACTCCACTATGCAAGGTCACTGAGTTCCACTTGGATAAAGTCCCAATTGCTTCCACTATGTTTATTCATTCATGCACTCATTCAGTAAATATTCAGTGCTTATTGTTCAGAATTACAGGTGCCAGGAACAGAGTCAAGAAAAATGAAGCCTCTGCCCTTATAGCACTTACATTCTAGTAGGAGAAACAGGCCAAAAGGACTGTCATTCATTCATTCAGTAAATATTCATTCACTCATTCAGTAAATATTCAGTGCTTACTGTTCAGAATTACAGGTGCCAGGAACAGAGTCGAGAAAAATGAAGCCTCTGCCCTTATAGCACTTACATTCTAGTAGGAGAGACAGGCCAAAAAGAGAAAAGCAAATGAATATATGAAAAATGGAAAGTAGTGAAAGGTTCAGTAAGGAAGTGAGAAAAAAATAAAAAGACCACAAGTGATTGGAGTTGGAGGGCTTCTTTAGATAAGGTGGTCAAGGGAAGATTGCTCTGAGAAGCTGGCATTTGACCAGATCCTGAATGAAAAGACATAGGACCATGTGGATATTCAAGGGAAGGGTATTTCACATGGAAATAACAACAGGAGCAAAAATCCTGAGGTGGAAATGTGCTTGGTGTATTTGAGGAGCTACAAACAGGCCAGCAGGGTTGGGATCACAGTGACCGAGGGGCAGGATCTTTCTGACTTTGCCCATCTACCTCTCAGATTTAATATCCTCCTCATTCCCCTTACCCATGTTGCACCACTGGTCATTTCCCAAGCACATCAACCACTCACATGGGCCCTTATCTTTGCATGTATTATTCTCTCTGCCTAGAGGGTACTTTTTCTCCTAATCCTCTAGTCAACTCCCATTTACCCTTCTGGTACCAAAATAAACGTCACCTTCTCAGAAACAACTCTCGCTCTGCCAAGAAGTTAGGTGGCATTTCTCTGAGTTCCTACTACTGTACTCCTCTCTGTCATAGCATTTAAAGCACCATTCTAGCTGTTTGCTTGGTTTCCTCCCATACAGTAGTTCTGTGAGAGGTTGGATGTTTATAATACGTATTTTTTTTAACTAGAAGGAAGGAAGGAAGGAAAAAATGATAGGCAGATAGAAGAAGGGAAGGAAGATAGAAAAAAAAGGAAGGAGGTAAGCTTAGGAAATTTTTGTAATCTAATAATTTGTTTTCTAGAAATGCCTTTTTGCTGCATAACTTTCCTACTATATTTGGTTCTATTTCATGGAAATCAGTGTAGAGAATTCCAGTATTCACGTAAGAATAAAACCTTGGAAATCATTTGATCATCACTTCTCTTCACAAAACACAAATGTACTCCTGTATAAAATCAAGCAAAAACCTGCAATGGCAGGTTGCCTCACGCACTTCAGACTTACACATCGTCTTGGAAGGCCGGTTTTGTTGCTATAGTAACTGGATCTCTATCAGAAACCAGGAATTAATGTAGAGAAGAGGAGAGGTACAGAGGCAATATGAAGAATTCAGTCTGAGCATTAGTGAAGGTATTGGGTCAGCTATTCTTCAGCGGGCACAGTGATGTGCACAATTCCTGGTTCCTGGTGCTGGTCAGTGAGGTCAGAATTATGAGTTTCAGGTGGGTCCCCTAAGGAGCTACAAGAGAGGCTTGCTCAAGGTTGTTGATTAACTTATTTTAGTTGCAGACATTTTTTTTTATTTTATTACTATTATACTTTAAGTTTTAGGGTACATGTGCACAACATGCAGGTTTGTTACATATGTATACATGTGCAGACATTTGAATTAATTATATTTCTGGACATATTATAATAATCATTTTGTATAAGTACCCACTCCTGTTTTGTTTTGGATATTTTTTTATTACCTAGACCTTCATTCCTCTCTTTCTCCCTTCCAAAGTGTTCCACTGTAATGTGCTTGATATGGCTTTTCAAATACTTTTATATAAATTGTTTTAATTGGCATAAATGACAATGTTCTATTAATTTTATTCTACTGTTTATTTTTTAACCTAATGATATATTTTTACGACTTACTCATTTTGCTGCATATTTGTTTTGCCTACCTCACTCCCTAGTAATTGATTCCTTCATTACTTCTAACACTTCACTATCAAGAATGGTGTTCAAATGATGTCCTTCTACAGGCTACCTGAAGGAACAGTGAGGAAAAGTTGTTTCCTGCAGAAATAAAAGACAAAGGTAACAAGCCAATTGCTTTTCTTCCCCTTAATATTATCAATATCACCCTTTAAAGAAACCACACTTTAGTAACGTGGCAGAAGAGTGCAAGCTTGAAGAAAGAGCCCTTGACACAAACTACCTGGAAACAGGAAAACATCCACCTCTAGACAAAGCTATCATAAGGAAAAAACAGAAGATCTGAATCAAACATTTCAGCTGATGGGCACTTTCACCTCCCTAAATTAACAAAATACAGAAAGAAAAATAAAACACAATACTCCAAACTTCAATAAGAATCCATAAATAAGCTTGTTCAGATAACATCTCAAGTCAGAAATTGAAAAAGTAAGAACAGCAAAGAACAACAGAAACTAAAATAGATGCAGCAAGAGTTGATCAAACTAATCAAATATAATAAAGAAAAAAATAAAACCATCTCAGAAATGAAGACTGAATTATGTGGTTGCCAGGGGAGAATAGATTCAAGTAAAATCTAACAAGAAGAATTGAACAAAAACAGAAAACAGTCAAGGAAATAAAAATGAAATAAAGAAGAAAACATGGTCAGAGAAAAAGTAGTTTAAATAGAAAACAAAGAAAGGAAGTATAATGAGAATTTCCGAATAATACTTTGAAACAGAACTAATATTTAAAACTACAATCCAAGAAGCCTTTCCAAAAATAAGAAAACATAAATTAATAAACTGAGGGTCCTCTGGCACCTCGGAAAACTGATTTAGAAAAATTAACTTCAAGAATACTCTGTTTTATTTTTTTTTTTGTGATGGAGTCTTGCTCTGTTGCCCAGGCTGGAGTGCAGAGGCTCCATCACGGCTCACTGCAAGCTCCGCCTCCCAGGTTCTCGCCATTCTTCTGCCTCAGCCTCCCGAGTAGCTGGGACTACAGGCACCCGCCACCACGCCCGGCTAATTTTTTATATTTTTAGTAGAGACAGGGTTTCACCATGTTAGCTAGGATGGTCTCAATCTCCTGACCTCGTGATCTGCCAGCCTTGGCCTCCCAAAGTAATGGGATTACAGGCGTGAGCCACCGCCCCCGGCCAAGAATATTCTTAAAAGCAAAAAACAAAGAAAAATCCTTGGCACTGTTAGAGCAAGAAAAGTAGGTTGGCATCAAGTCTCTCAAGAATAAATATAAGGCAATGCTGTGGTGGGAGAATTTTACAAGAAATGCAAGGACATCTAGCCAAGCCTTTAAGCAACAAGAGGATAGAAAGCTAGTTTTGACTGTGAAAGGATTCAAGGACTGCTATTCCCCTGAGCTCTTTCTGAGGAGTATGTTAAAAGACGGGCTCCAGAAATCTAAGGGTTGACGGGGGAAACTGTCAAGAAGACACTAATGAGTGCGTGTATAATTGTAGAACAAAGAATTAAGCAAAGTTGGAGCGGACTGGAAAATTGAATATAAATATATGTTTCTGATAAAGCAGAAGGAACATAACTAGAATAACTGGGAAAAGTGAAAAAGAAAGTAGAATTAGACAATGACTACTCTATAATTAATAGGTAAGAATCAATGTTTACCACATAAAAATTATAGACCTGATAGTAAAATTTAAATAACAAAATTATAGACCTGATAGTAAAATTTAAGGGCAATACAAGTTTTATAAATACAAATATAACCAATACTATCAAAACACAAACATTTCTAAAGGCTAAAATATTTAAATATAAATATGTATGTGTGGAAAGAGACACATAAAGAATTACGGTCAAACCACACAATAACTCCAATATTATATAATAGTTTACTGGCAGTATTAGTGAATGTAATTGGGTAAGAGAAAAAACTAGGGATACAAGAATTGGAAAAGAATAATAAGAATATCTTTATTTGCCAATGACATAACATTATATTCTATAAATATGACTGAATCTATGATAAAGCCAATTATAAAAATAAGCATTTGTTAAGATAGCAGGATAAAAATTAAAATACAGAAATCAATATGCTTTCTATGCAGCATTAAGAACCCCTTGAAAGAGAAAATACCATAGCAACAAAAATGTTTATATTACTTAGCAAGAAATGTGCAAAACCTATATTAAGGAAACAACAATAATTATGAAACACTCTTGAAAGACACCTACATACACTTGAATAAATACAAAGATACACCATTAAAACACATCACGAAAATGTCAGTTCTAAGTTAAACATTTAGTTTATCCCAATAAAAATACAAACAAGGTATTTTGCTATAGTTAGACAAGTTGATACTAAAGTCCATATAGGAAAAACTAAATAAATAATAATATGTAATTATAGTTATAATAATACAGTAAAAGAAGGCCTGTGAGGAAGGGAGGACTAGTCTTACCAGATATTAAAACATACAGCTAAACCTAATAAATAAATAAATACTAACGCATGCATAGACAGAAGACCAATGAGACGGAATAGAAATTCTAAAATTACACTGAGCTGCATGTGGAAATCTGGTATCTAAAAAAGGAAATATCTCATATCAATGAGAGCAAAGGAGTTTTTAATAAATGGTGTTAGGATAACTGAATAGCCATCTGAAGATGGTTTTAATTAGATTCATTTCTCACATCATATGTAAGAAGGGAATCATGATAGATTAAACACCTAAGTTTAAAAAAATCCAACTATCCACAGATTGGAATAAAATTATTCTCACCTGGGTGTAGAGAAAGAGTATCTATGCCACAACATCCAGAGTCAATTTAAAATATTGATTATTTTTCTACAAAAATTTGTATAAAATTATGGTTAAAAATATGTAGGTAAAGTCACAAGAAAATGGACATTGTGGGAAAATTTGTGACATATATAATGAGTAAAAACTACTTTCCTTAACATATGAAGATTTTTATAATTGGTGAGAAGACCAAAAATGAAAATGAACATGAAAAGAAAATTCATATATATATATATGAGAAATGGCTCTTAAACCTCTGTAAAAGTACTCAATCTCATCCATGATAAGAAAATTAAATTATTAAAGCTTAACTGGAAAATATTTTCTTACCAATTAGATGGACAAAAGATTCAGTCTTGATGAAACATGCTCTTGGCAAGGCTGTGCAAAAACAGTCATTCTCATGCATTATTGATGGACATAAAAGTGGTATGACAATAGAGGGAAATTTAGCAACACCTAAAATTTAGCAAAACAACCTCTTCATTTCCCTTTCAGCCCAGACATCTCACTTCTAAGAATTTATCTGGGCCAGGCACGGTGGCTCATGCCTGTAATCCCAACACTTTGGGAGGCCGAGGTGGGTGGATCACTTGAGGTCAGGAGTTTGAGACCAGCCTGGCCAACATGGTGAAACCTAGCCTCTACTTAAAATACAAAATTTAGCAAGGCGTGTTGGCGAGCACCTGTAATCCCAGCTACTCAGGAGGCTGAGGCAGGTGAATCAATTGAACCCAGGAGGCGGAGGTTGCAGTGAGGGGAGACCCCACCATTGCACTCCAGCCTGGGCAACAAGAGCGAAACTCCATCTCAAAAAAAAAGAAAAAGAAAAGAAAGAAAGAATTTATTTGAAGATTAATGTCCAACAATAGGAAAATATACATGTATAAGGTTATTATTTGCAACATTATTTGTAATTTCAAGATATTAGAATCAATCAAAATATTAAAATATAGGAGATCGGTTAAACAAATTCTGTTGCATCCACACAATGGAATGTTATATGGCAGGAAAAATGAATGAGGGTGAACTGATATGAAGCAATTTTATGTATTTTTAAATGAACAAACAAAAAGTACAAAAGGCATATATAATATGCTAACTTTTGAGTAAGAAAAAAATAAAGTAAGATAACATCTGTCTGCTTACTGTTACAAAATAAAACACAGGAAGGATAAACCAAAAAACAATAAAAGGGGAAACTGAGTGAAAGTTATAAGGAGGGAAGATATTTTTCTGAGTATGTCATTTTTACTTTTAGAAGAATGTCAATGCTCTACAAATTCAAAAACTGTGACAAGATCTATAAGGATGAGATAAAAGTAAAACCTAAAATGTAAAAGAAACAAATGAACCCAACTGCATTTCAAATGAATAACATAACTATCACTCTGAAATGAAATCCCTGGGATAAAATCCCTGACTTGAAAGAAGGAGGTTGCTTTCTCCATATATAAGAGATGGCCCAGCAGTTTCCATGAAGAGTTTGTATTTTTCCACTTAGAGAAACTGTTCATATGCAAAAGAGCATACTGAAGGCAGAGGCTGCCTGTGTGTGCGCATGTGTATGTGTTCATGTGTGGCCCTACACGTGTGAAGCATGTGATTGGAAGGATGAGAATTGGTTGACAAATGGGAGTCCTGAATTTAAATCCAAGATTTAGAATACAGAGAGAGTAACTTAACCAGTAGTTTCCTCATAATCCTTAATGTAATCACCAGGGTGGAGTATACTGAGGATTTGATGAGATAATGTGTTTCAGAGCCCAGGCTGTGAAATCCTATTCTTGGGTGCAAATCCAGCTGAATCGCATTCTTACTTTGGAACCTTGGACACATATTTAATTTCTCTCAGTCTAAGTTTTCTCTTCTGTGGAAATGAAAAATAGTTGTATCTTTCTCCTATGTTTAGGGTGGGAAATAAATTAGTGTGCTCATGCAACAAATGAGGTAATTCATAGTAAGGATTTCACTGGAAAGCAAGATGCAAACTGCAAAAGGCAGGTTCCTTTTCATCTTGTTCACCCTTGTGCCCTCTGGCCTAGACTACTGCTTGGCAGGGATCTATCACTTCTTTCACATCTGTGGAATGAATGAATGAAAACCTTTTCCTGACCCCTGACCCATAAAAAGCTTCATAAATGTTAGCTGTGTTGTCATGATCTCCATAATTATGATTATCCTCATGATCATTAATGTATATAAAGGTGTTTTATCTTCAAAATCAAGTGGGAAATGTAGACAGCCCCCTGTACTTTCAACAAGTAATGTTGGATTTTATAGCATCCCATGAAGAAGAACGACCACTGGGGAGGAATCTGGGGGGGGGGCGGGAAATGGTTTAATAGCAAAAAAGAGTATATACGGCTCTTTCTTGATTGATGTTTCCACATTGGTTATTTGGTGCTTCCTCTGCCCTTCTCTCTGATAGCTTGAAAGGCAAAAAAAAAAAAAGAAAAAAAGGCTTCCAAAAGCTGAAAATACTCAGTCTGAGACCACAGAACTAGGGCAGCAGTCCTGAGTATCAGTAAATTGATCCCTTTGAAGTTTTATGTTAGGAGAAACTCAGGCCCATAACAGAAGCTCCTGATCTCATTAGGGAGAAAGTAAATCCTTTAGAAATAAGTCTTCTCACAGTTTAATAACTGAGGTTTCAGTTCTCCTTGAGAAAAATTCCTGGCTGGATTACACTCTAGAGCCATATTTCTTGCAAAATCCAACATCTGAAATCCTAGACTGAGCAAAGAATTACTTTTTGGGGGGAAAAAAAGGAGTTTAAAGTTGGAAAAAAAGATCTTTTATGGAAAGACATCCCAAAATCACACCATGCACTGTTTACTTATAAACTTAACTAATTTTATTACATACAATTCTTTGCTTCTATTTTTCAAATAACAAAACCGAGATGAAGAGCAACTATCTACTTACCAAAAGACACATAATTAGTACGTGGTAAAGCCCAGTTTTCAACATTGGTACAACTCTAAAGTCCATGCGCTTATCTTTTCTGATAATATGTACCAGAATACAAAAGCCTCTTTCCACAAAGTCCAGGGCATTCCAGATATGTCATTGAATAAGGTGACATTGATAATAGGAATTCTGAAATTAGTGACCAAAAGCATTTAATGAAAAATGTAGGGTTTAATTAATAATGGCAATAAGTCTTGAAATTTTAATAAAATTTCTGGAAGCACCTTAACATCTTAGAACTATCTGTTGATTTTTACAGGGAGAGTAAGCCAGTGTGACATAAAGGAAAGAGTATTTTGCTAAATGTCAGGAAGTGGGGATTCTTGTTCTGACTCTGTTCCTGGCTAGATGATTTTAAATGAGTCATTTTGTTATCCTTAGCCCTACTTTCTGAATCAAGAGAATAAACTCATCAGATTAGGTCATCTCAATATTTTTTGCAGCTTTATCACTGAAGAGATAACATCGATTTCACCACTGCTAAATGAAAATAAAGACCTGATCCATGGACTCACACATTTATTACCAAGTAGAAATCTGCACATCCCAAAGGTTGTGACCTGCTTAAGGTCACACAGCAATTTGGTGGCAGAGCAGGGATGAGGACCCAGGTGTCCTCAATCCCAATGCCATGTTTCTCTTCATACCAGTAGCTTGCAAAGTGGTCACTTAATATTTGTCTAAGTCAAAAATTGAATCATTGGAATGCAGTGCCTTTGGTGGATAGGCCCCCAAGAAGGGTGTTTTTGTAAATATAGAAATATGTAAATGTTTAGTATAAAATCATAAATAGAAATTTCTAAAAAAATAAAATTAAATGACTAATGTGTTTGATTCTCAAAGTCAGACATCATGAAAGGGGGCGGGGGATGCTGGAGAACATCAGCTCTGGTGACGGACTGCCCAGAGTCCAGTTCCATCATTTCTCGCTCTGTTTCAGTTTTTCCATCTGACAAACAGAAATAATAACACATGTACACATATGGTGCACTTGTGGGGAATAATGGGTCAGCACATGTAATGCATATAGAGCAGCACCTGGGAAAGGATGCATAAGCTATGATTATCACAAGTTTACAGATGAGGCACTTGAGCCTCACAGTGGGTTAGAATGCTGGGAATCCTCAGCCAAGTTGATGGGAGCTTTGTCTCTACAGAACCTCCTGCCCAGTCACTGAGGAATCACAGGGCAGTGGAGAAACCATACAATTTGAAACCAGGAGACCCAGGCATGAATCTCTCTTCTGCTCTATCCTCAGCTTATGACCTTGAACAAATTACTTCAATGCTCTGTTCCTTCTTTGCTTCATTTATAAATATAGTAACAGTGATATTCAGTCTACAAATTGGTTATGAGGATCAAACTCCAATGTTCCATGACAACGCTGGTTATTGCTGTGATCACTATTACCAGCTGTAGCTGGGTTATGGAGTCAGACTTGGTGAAATGACCAGTGTCCTCCAAACTCTGTTGGAGTGGCTCTGTCAGTGCTGCTGGGTACAAGGGTCCACAGCCACCCCACAGAGTCCCTAGTTTGAGAGTGATCTTCAAAGTACAAGGGGAAGAAAGAGCTCTGTTAGGCAGGTAGAGAGCCTCACACAGGCAGGAAGATTCTAAGAGACCTTTCAGAGGCTTTAAAGTAGCTCAAACCAGCTGGCCTTGATGAAAGACATATCTGGGGCCTGTGTGATGGAATCACTGAATTCCTGGGGTGGATCCTAGAAGATCCGTAGACAGCAGGAAGTCTCTAGTTAGTTCTCTAAGATGTAAAGTAATTTTTAAATGTAAATTTGACCAGGCACTCTTTCAATGGAACACTTCCGTGGTGTGCTCAAATGATGCACTCCATGTTCAAAGGATAAAGACAAATCTCTCATAGGAGTAGCACAGAACTTCCTTTCCCCCTTGGTCTGCCCCTTGCTTCCCTGGCTCCCTGCCATTAGCCAGCCTAGCTCAGCACTTCCGCCACCACAGGGCTGTGTACAGGCATGACTGTTTTCTCTCTTCCCCACCTTCCCCACTGTATTAGTTCGCTTTCACACTGCTATAAGGAATTACCTGAGACTATGTAATTCATGAGGAAAAGAGGTTTAATTGACTCACAGTTCTGCCAGCTGAACAGGAAGTGTGACTGGGAGGCCTCAGGAAACTTACAGTCAAGGCAAAAGGTGAAGGGAAAGCAAGGACCTTCTTCACATGGCATCAGGAGAGAGAGAGCACAAGGGGGGGAAGTGCTACACATTTTTAAACAAACAGATCTCATGAGAACTCTATCATAAGACAGCACTAGGGAGATGGTGCTAAACCATTAGAAACCACCCCCATGATCCAATCACCTCCCACCAAGCCCCACCTTCAACACATGAGGATTGCAATTTGACATGAGATTTGGGTGGGAACACAAAGGCAAACCATATCATCCACCTCTGTCCTGCCTCTTTTCTGGTTCACTCCTGTACAACCTTCAGATCTCAGGTAAAGCATTATATTTGCACATCCTCAGTTGTTCCTCCCCTGAGCTATTTATTAGGCCAAATTTCATTTTTTTATGTGTTTTGAGTACCACATATCTCTCCGTTGAAGCACGTGTGAAGGTGCAGTTGTATGCGCATTTGTGTGATTTTTTTTTTTAATTACTGAGTCTTCCCTAAGCAATATTTGGAGCAGAGACAAATTCTGTGTTTCTTATTTACAACCTATAATAGTGTCTGGACATGGAAGGTGCTGAAATTAATTTTATTAATGAATAAAATGATGAATGAAAAACCATGACTTGCTTTCAAGTAGTATTCCTGGTCTGACAAATTAAACAATTTAGTAAGTCCCTTAATGAGGGCTTTGTGATCGCCTTGTGGACAAGGTGAAGAAATCTACTCTTGGCTATGATACTAATGGATTAAGGCCTAACTTAATAATTGACTGGCTTCAAGGTAAGTTCCTTAATTTCTCCCTCAGAATCAGATTGAAGAGAGGATTGTAGTAGCTCTGTCCTATGCAACATAACAATAATTTGGATAAAGACATTGGGTACACTGCCAAAATTTGATATGATTGATGGCAGAATCACAATCCACAGAATTACTGATGGTCGAAATATTCAACCAAATCTAAAAATTTGAAATTGATATTAGATAGAGCTATATACAGATCATTACGTTGGGCTAAAATAAACAGATAAGCAAATAAAAATTCCACTGGTAGAAGACAGTAAAAAATGATTGGAAAGTGCATATGAACAACTTTTATGCCCATGGTTTCTAAAAATTGTGCCAAGGTACCTAGGGCACTCAAGCAGACTCCCAGGGTTATGCAGGATATTTAACACATCTGAGGGAAATGGTGAGAACTGCAACCTCAAGGTTATTCCCAGGTTCAACATGAGATTGAGCTGATTTCTTTCCATGTTTTGGTAAGTTTGTGAAGTTGGGTTGTAGGAGCTTGCTGGGATAAAAAGCAAGCACCATGCAAAAATCAATGTGGAATAAGAAGGAAGGGGTTGTGTGCTGTGGTATGCTGAGCCAGTTGGGTGTGCCCAAAACCCACGCACTCAAATGGTCATGTCCCAAGTTAAAGAAGAACTTAGACTTGTCTACAAAGGGATCAATCAGTTTAGATAGAATTTTCTGTGTGAGTCCGTAGATATTTGGAATTTCCTCTAACTTTACAGCCTACTACCATCATGGTAGATTAGAATGTGCATGGAATATTCCCCCAGAAGACCTAGATCCTTGTCTTCCCTGCATCTAAATAGCTCTCTGTTGTCTGAATCCTTGGTTAAATCCTTGAGCCTCAATTGTACTTTCATAAAAATGAAAATAGAAAATCTCTGAATGGCCAACCTCAGAAAGTCACTGTATGAATAAAATAACATAAAGGAAGTAGATATGTTCTCTCATTAGGATCCTGACATTTGCTCTTCCCACTGCCTGGAATGCTCTTCTCATTATTCGGCAGTCAGCTGAGATAGCAACTTTTCAGAGAGACTTTCCTAAAGATCCTATTGATCTTACTGTCCCTTCTCCCTCTTGCCTGAGGCGTTTGTTAGCCTATCATTCTGATTCTTTATCATTGCATTAAAAAAATTATTAGACTTTACTTTTCAGAGCACTTTCAGATTAATAAAAAAATTGAGCAGGAAATACAGAGAGAGCCTATATACTGCCTCTCCCCCTTGCAATTTCCCCTATTATTAACATCTTGCATTAGTGTGGCCATTTGTTACAATTGATGAAACTGTATTCATATATTATTATTCATTAAAATCCATAGTTTACATGAGGCTTCATTGTGTTGAACATTCTATGAGCTTTGACGAAGGCATGATACATATCCACTATCGCAGTGTTATGCAGAATAGTTTCACTGCCCTTAAAATCCTTTGTGCTCCACCTATTCATCTTTCCCTCTGCCTGAATGTTATATAGTTGGAATCATACACTAGACAGCCTTTTCAGATTGGCATCTTTCACTTAGCAATATGTTTTTGAGGTTATTTCATATCTCTCTGTGGCTTGATAGCTCATTTCATTTCTAAATAATGATATTCCATTGTATGGATGTTTGTTTATCCATTCACCTATTGAATAACATCTTGGTTGTTTCCAATTTGGGGCAGCTAGGAATTAAGCTTCTATAAACATTAATTTGCAGGTTTTTGTGTGGACATATGTTTTCTATTCATCTGAATAAATACCTACGAGTGTGATTGCCAGATCATATGGTAATACTATGTTTAGCTTTCTAAGAAACTGTTACATTTTCTTCTAAAGTGGCTGTGCCATTTTCTATTCCCACTAGCAATGGATGAGAGTTCCTATTGCTCCATGTTCTCATCACCATTTGGTATTGTTGGTATTGGGACTTTAACCATATCATTGGATTTTTCACTATCATAAATTATCTTCTTGATTTATTTTGTTATGAATATAGCAGCTGTCTCTCAACTCACCAGTAGGTCAGAATTGAGGATTTTGTCTACCTTGTTAAGTGACACATTCATACATAAAGTTAGAAAAAGAATGCCTGACACATAATAGGCACAGTATAAACATGTAACTAAAAAATGATTAAATGAATAAATTTGTTCTACAAATTGTGTTATTATAATTAACTTCATTGATGCTCACATCTTTCAAACTCATCTAGTTCCCACTCCATCAATCTTACATCTAAGTTCCTCCCCATATATTTCTCTCTTTTCACTGTTATTGCTGATTCTTTGTTCTATACTCCTGAGTTTCTGATCAACTTGTGGGGTGGAGGTGTACTGTGCTATTTTTGTCAAACTAAAATTCAGCTCCAGAAATTTGAAAACTGACTTAATGCATTTTTTCACTAATGTTTCTATTTATTCCATGTGTTCTTCTTCCATATGAGGAGCATAGCCTGGTTTTCCCTTGTTCCTGCTGGCTTGCTGTTTTTGAGGAAGAAATCAAATTTGGCAACATGAAAAACTTATTGTCCAGTGAACCCAACCCCCAACAGTTTCAGAACCATTACAGACTGATGAGATGAAAACTTTCTCTGTTCTTCTTCATCAGGGATAGCACATTTTCCCCAAGAGCTTCTAGAGACCAGGCTATGTAAGACTCAGGAAGCAAATATTTGGAGTGGTCACTGGAACTATGGACAGTCATATCAACAAGTGTTTATAGGGACCTGCTGCAGCTGAGCCCAGATTGCAGCTGAATTTAAGATGAGGACATGGATATCAACCAAAGGTATAAGCCAGAGCTAAAGAGAAGAAAAAGGTTAGAGCCCAAGTATCTGGGACAAATTCATTTGTTAATTTAACTGCTTTAATAGCTGTTCCTCATCTATTGTGGCTTTCATAGGATTCACTCATCACCTTGACATCCCCGGGCAGACCACATGATAGATGAATTAGCAGTGAAACAAGATTTCTCCTCTGGCAGTAATCTGCAGTGTGACCTTGGACAGGTCACAAAAATCTCTATTATCAGGAACATCAACTTCAGGGATATGACTGAAACTCAATATTGTTTCCTCGTGGACTAGCCAAACACATTTATCACTGAGAATTTAACAGCAAGAATGAATCCAGTGTAATTTTGCTGGCATCTCCCCACTACAAGTCTAAGATTCAAGGCAGATTTAAGGGTTCACTTCCTTCCTAGTATATTTGGGAAGACTAAGGTCCATCGAGGGAGAAAAGTTAAAAGTTATCAAGAACATGGAGTTACTGTGTGGCAGAAACAAGTAGAATCCACTTGTGCTGGATATAATTCAGTGCCGGATGCTCTTAACTTTTTCTTCTCTTTAGTTTTGGCTTATACCTTTGGTTGATATCCATGTCCTCAACTTAAATTCAGCTGCAATCTGATCCCCAGAAACACTTGTTGAGATGACTGTCCAAAGCTCCAGTTACCACTCCGAATATTTGCTTCTTGAGCCTTAGGTAGCCTGATCTCTGGAAGCTCTTGGTCGAAATTGAACTGAATTACATCCAGCAGAAGTAAATTCTACCTCTGTTTTCAGGTATGGTATTTGGAAGCAAAATGCAACCATTGCCCTATCCTCAACAGACAGAACTCATCCATGGTTGATGAAGGTAGCCTGGGTCCTAGAGGTGATCTCCATTTTATGATAAAGGACTTGAGCTCTTAAGGACGTTTTATGTTTTACCAGACACTAAGAGTAGCAATCACTCTGTACAACTTGGGTGAGACTTCCTAAAAATGCCTGTGCATAGTCAACACAATACCCTGTTAATTTAAGAACCATAATGTTTTGAAACGAGATTGTTTCTTGTATCTTCTATGAAAATGGGGTTAGCTCAGCCAAAGAACAAGAATCCAGATCATTATAAGCATATGCAGGGAACTTTACAATGCACAAATAATGGCATTTTAAAATCAGGTTTATCTATTGATGAAAGCACTTGCTAACATGTTTAGCTGACTTGCAGTTCCTTGAAGTACTGGAAAGCAATAAAACTTCATTAAATGCATTCTCCTAGTGCTTTTACAAATTCAGAAAGATGGTACTTCAATTGCTCCAAATTTGATAATACATTTCTCACCTATATTCATACGGAGGGTTAGGCTTGGAAAGGGCTTGCCAACCATCCAACATCACCTTCTCAGTTTCTGCTGTGGGATTGAAGACCAGAGAGACTGAGTGATTTGTTCAGGAACGCACAGTGCATTTCTTGGTAGAACCACTGACATCTCTCATGGCCTTTGATTCCTATATATCACATTTAGAAAGTTTATTTTAAAGAGCTTGTGATATGGCACAATTTCGGTTTATTCTCATAGATCTTAAGTCTCTCTTAGAATACATGAAGATTCAGAAAGCTAAACACATACGTAGACTTTGGGACTTGCTGTGTCTGAGCAGCACATTCATGATGTCTGTTGAACTCTGTTTGGCCAATAACAGCTAGTTGGGATAGCTTGACTTAAAACAAACGAACAAACAAACAAACAAAAACTTGCTTCTTCTCCTTACTTCTCCTCATTCCTTACACCCTCTCAAATCAGAGGAAACGTTTGTGTCTTTGCCCAAGCTATTTACCTTGGGTCCCTCTGATATGTTCCTCTTTATCCTGCCAGGCTTATCTCAGAGGAGACCTATGTGAAGAGTCCTCTACCCCTCTTCCTAGCCACAGGCAGTTACCCTCTTCTCCCTGCTGTCTGTGAACTTGATAAGTATCTCCATCACTGAACATTACACATTATTTCATATTTATTTCATATTTATAACTGTCTTGATCAAAACTGTGAGACTCTACAGACAGGAGCCAAGCCTTATTTATCCTTAGTCCTTAATATCTACAGCATTGCAAGCAATATAATAATATGTGCTCCATAAATATTGTTTGAATTTATTTCTGAAGCCATTCATTCTGAAACAGCCTTTGTCACTGCTATGAGGTCTCATGACAGTTTCCTATTGTGCCTTTGAAATTGTCAAGGTGAGATTAGGAACACAATTATCTGGCTCATACTCCAGAGATCTCTCCCTATGAAATAAGGAGGAGGGATAGGTCCCTACTAGATGATGCTTTCTAGCCAGGAGAAAAACTAACTTGTAGCCAAAATATGTAGTAGGAAGGAGATAACTAACTTTTGAATGACTCCATAAGCTCAAAATCTCAAATCAATTTTTATTATTTTCCTATCCCCTACCCTAATTCCATTGTTCATCCAACAAAGATTGATTCTGCACCCTGCACCTACCATCTCACAAGACAGAGTGAGAAAGGAGAAAAGAAAGGGGTTCAGAGGTTCCTAACCATTTTTTTTGCCATGGATTTTCTACTATGGACCAAATGTTTAAAATAAATTATTTCAGTTGTTAAATATTACTTTTCTGCTTTTATAGAAGGTAATACTGGGATTCAGAGAAATAAATTAACCTGTCGGATATCACACAGCTTTTGATTGCTGAGTTGGAGGTTTGAATTAATATCTAAGTCCAAGGTCTGTGCTGATTTCACTACAACTTGTTATTAAAGAGAAGTACATAGCCCTTGTCCTGAAGGAGCATGTGATTTAAGAGGTGGCATCCTGCAAGTATCCCTCAGGTACAAGTCTGCCTTGTATCATTTGCCCTCAGTTAAAGGAATGTGTAGAGCTCAGTTTGGAGAAACTAGAAGAGTCTTGGAAGACTGCCAGGGAATCTTCCTGAGAGAAAAGACTGGCAAGGCCCTTATTCTGTGACTAGTAGAAAGGACATTAATTATCACAGCCCTAGGGCAGAACCAGCTCCCTCTCTACAGCTGAGGCTTTGTCCTGGGTGGCAGGAAGGAAGTGAAAACACAACCTTACAGAATCCAATTGGTCTCTGTTTGCAAGTCCCTCTGTGAGGTCCTGACTCCTTAGCTTCCTTATATCTGCTGTGCTGCCCAGCTTCAGCCAGTTTTTGGTCCTGTCAGAGCTATGCAGACTGACATAACTGCTTGCGGGGAGATGGACTGGCTTAAAAGGGCATGAACATGAAAAAGGACCAGGGCATAAGGGGAGGAGTGGTTCTGTTGCACATAAGGTTGGTGCTATGGACCAAATGTTTCTGTCCGCCACAATTCATTTGAAGCCCTAACCCCTCCAGTGATGGTATTTAAAGATGAGGTCTTTAGGAGGTAATTAAGGTTAGATGAGATCATGAGTGTGGGGCCCTTATGATGGAATTAGTGCTTTTATAAGAAGAGACACCAGAGCTTGAACACCCTCTGAGCACACACAAAGAAGAGGTCACGTCAGCACGCAGTGAGATGACGGCCTCTTACGAGCCAAGAGAAGAGGCCTCAGAATAAAGCCTACCTTGCCAGAAACTTGATCTTATGCTTTCTAGCCTCCAGAATTGTCAGAAAATAAATCTCTATTGTGTAAGCTACCCAGCCTATGGATATTTTGTTATGGCAGCCTGAGCTGTCTAAGAAATTTGTACAGGCAGATTAGGGCAGGATTGTGTGTGGTTGATGATTAAATCAAGAAGCCAGGAATTCTATAACAAAGGTAGAGGAAAAATGAGAGGTTTTTTTTTTCCATTAGATCTGGAATTTCTAAGGACCTGACAGAATTGCCAGATCTGATAGTTTATAAGTCTATGATCCCCTCTGCTTCTATGCATTTCATTGTGCAAAGCGTTTATAGAGAGTCATCTTTATGCAAGGCAGTGTAAGGAATTGGGAGACTGAGAGTTGGATGAGACATTGACCTGTGCCTTCAGAGTAGCAACTGACAAAAAAGAAGGAAATTGACTATTTCCTTTAGCAATGAGCAGTTGACAAAAGAAGAAGAAAAATAAGAAACTAGACCCATGTAGCTGTGGGCATGTTGAAAAGACCAGGCCGTGCTCAGTCCTTGGGACTGGTCACAAAAGGTGTTGTCCCATGTCAACAGCAAACTACTTACACGTGGAAAGGTGAAAGCCTTATCTGGTGATTCAAATCCTGAATAAGCCTCCAGCACCTAGCTCAAGGCCACAGGAGGCTCACTGGGACTACTCCTTGTTCTTACTGATTGGACCACAGGCTGCACCTGGGACTTGGTGCCCAGAAGTTGCATGTTCTTTAGGAATAATTGTCATTCAGAGGATTAAATTCATTATCAATCAGAGGTGAAGCTAAAGCTTATATAAGAAAAAAACACAGAACAGAGATTTCATTTTCATTAAGAAATAATAAAGAAAGGATATTATGAAATACTTAGGGATAAACCCAAATGGAGAGATCTGGAAACTTTTAGAGAGAAACTACAGTCTCAAATTATGTTATTCTCAATGTCATTCATTTATTTTTTTGTTGTCATTTTTTTTGTTTTTTGAGACAAAGTCTCACTCTGTTGCCCAAGCTGGAGTGCAGTGGCATGACCATAGCTCACTATAACCTTGAACTCTTAGGCTCTAGTGACCCTCCTGCCTCAGCCTCTTGAGTATCTGGGCCTACATGTGTACCACCAGACCTGACTTTTCTAAATTTTCCTTTTTTTTTTGAAGAGATGTGGCCTCACTATTTTGCCCAGGCTGTTCTCAAACTCTTGGCCTCAAGTGATCCTCCTGCCTCAGCCTCCCAAAGCACTGGAATTACAGGCATGAGCCACTGGGCCTGGCCCACAAGATTGTTTAAACAAATAAGAGAATCCTGTTGCTTAATGGAAAAATTGAATATTATAAATATTTACTTTAATGCAAATTCCTTTATCAGTATACCAATTTTACATTAGTATCACATAGGATTTTTAAAATGCAGTAAAGAATTAGAAAGATGCATTTAGAAAAATACATGTTTAAGAAGGTAAGATAAAAGAACAACAAATCAAGATATGGTGATAACCTAAAAGTAGAACTATAGATAAGTGCAACAAAAGAGAGGATCTATAAATAACTCCAAAGGCTTCTTTTCTGAGTAGAAAGAGCCCTAATGCTAACCATCTCAGACTTATTTATTTCATGTCACTGTTGAGGAATCCACAATCTCCAGATCTTGACAAAATTCAAGGAGGATGGTAAGGAGAAAATGAACTTTTAGGACTGACAATATAGAGTCTGCTGTACTCTGAAGAGTTGGCAAAAAATGACTAACAATGTTTATCTTTCTCCATGAAGATGAATAGAGTCCACCAAAACTGTCTGCCTTTAGCTTCCTCTTAAAGGGATAGGATAGAAGATAGAGCCTGAACTGAAAAATTTAGTCATGAATCTCAACATTCACCAAATCTCTAAAGATAATACGC
Organism: Homo sapiens; assembly: GCF_000001405.40. NCBI lineage: Eukaryota > Metazoa > Chordata > Mammalia > Primates > Hominidae > Homo > Homo sapiens. The sequence continues at coordinate 17,054,226 of NC_000002.12, forward strand.
TGCCTGCATTCATTCAATGAGGCCTCAATCTCTTCGTCAGGCAAGATCACAACGGGTTTTTTTTAATTTGGTGAGAGCCTCAGTTTGACAGAAAGTTTAGAAAAGCAGTTGCTGGTTATCACCATGGGTGGGAAGGAGAGGCAGAGAAGGGTTGTGTTTATTCGCCTTGGGATGATACAGCTCAAATAGGTTTTTTCTAACATGCCTGCTGAAGCCTGAAATCCCTTTATTAAGGAATAAAGTCTTACTGAGAAGCTAAGCTTAAATGCAAATTTCAAGAAAAAAGTCTATGTGAGAATATCATAAAGAAGTGAAAATGACAGATTTGAAGTTATTTTCTGAGAGCAGGTCATTGAGCAATAACGGGAAACACAAATGTTGGTAAAATTTTGAGTTTAAAAGCAAAATACATTGTATGTCCTTGCACTGAGAATTATATAACACAAGTAAATAAAAAAGTAAAGAACTTTGCTAATATTGCCTACATAGACATTGATGATTTAAATAAAGAACAAAAGGACTCAGAATAGTCAACTCTGAATGTGAAGGGTGTTTAGGAAATCTTTAACCAAATTATTTATATTCGGTTTCCTTTTATTTATGCAAAAAAACACATTAAGATTTCTTCCTGCATGTCTAAAATGTTACTTCATAACTGTAAAATAAAAATTATATAATAAAAAATGTTTAACATAATTTGACATTATTTTCCTCAGTGGTACAGAAAATAATGGGGAGTTTTACAATCAGTGGCATTTTAGATTTGTAAAATTTCCATGCTATATCCTTGGACAATATGCAGAGATTACATAAAGCCATATGTTTTTAGAGTTGACTTCATTCAAGCTTTAAAGAGAAAATACTGTCAATGTTATTCTATTATAGACCACAGGAAAAAATGAAGACGTCCTCAATTCACGTGATGATAGTATAACTTTATTAACAAAACCTAATAACAATAGTACAAAGAAGGAAAACTATGGT